>NC_000002.12:199307799-199610830 GCF_000001405.40 Homo sapiens
TCCCTCACCACTCCTCTCTATTTTTATCAAGAAACTGTGCCTCACTCTCCCTTTATATTCTCCTCTTCCATTCTGCACACACATGTGCACATATGCACTCCTGCCTCAACTTTCTTTTTCTTACTCCAGGAGATTCAGAGACAGGCCAAAGGGTCCTCTTTGGTGGCAGCTGAAATTGAGAGTATTGGGCAGCAGGCCCATCTTATAACCTACCAAAACAATTTGTGGGCCAAACTCTAGGGGGTCTAACGTTGGAAACCTCAACTAATATTTCTTCTTAAAAGCAATTAATTTTAGACTATGGAAAGTGTCAGTAGTTAAACTCAATTACTATGGCAAAGCAATATTATTTCTCTCAATGAGAGCAAAAACTAAGCCAACAAAACACGCAATCCAAAGGAAGGCAGATTTCTAAATGAGATGTAACCAAAGACAGCAAAAACTCATCTTAAAATTCTAAGAATCTGTCACAATCTGTCTCTCAAGGTTCAGCTGAGTTCAATGGTATTCCCTAGGTCATGTGGCTATTTCTTTTCCTCAGTCTAATCAAACATTCTTTGAGGGATTTTGGATGCAAAACTACTTCACAGGTTTTTTATAGAAAATGAACTGATGGAAACCATGTTTTCCGATCGAGAGATTTAATTCTCCGTGAGCGCTCTGGCTTTACAATCCCACAAGTAAAATGATCTCAGGAAAGCAGCTGTCTTTGGCATTCAACTTCTCAGTCATTTTTCTTTGTGTGTGCATACACACACACACACGCACGCACATGCACACACACACACATACACATACACACAGTACCCACTGTGACGACAGCGTCTTCTGTACTTGGGGACCTGGCATGAGACACCCTCTGACAGAAGTTGGTGTGGTGTGTGCCACTTGGACCCTCAGCAGCTACTGCTGGCACACAGAGCCCTGATCAGGTGGGGTACGGCGGTCGGGGACACTGACCTGCACCGGCTCAGGGGGAAGCTGGACCACGTGTTGCATGCGTTCGCTGTGGTGATGCCTTGACTCCTCCTCATAGATGACATCCCTCTCATGCTGGGGAAGGTTCAGGAAGCGACGGATGGTACAGAGGTTTTCCCAGAGGGTGCGGTTTTCTGGGCTTGGGTTCTCCTTCCAGCGGAGCAGTTCACACAGCCAGCCCTGTAGAGAGAGGAGGTCGCTTGCATTAACCTGCAGAGTGTAGAGGAGCTGAGGGGGCCTTGACTGCGGTCCAGTGCCATCACAGTACATCTTTTTCTGTCAAAATTGTTCCTGCCAACGTGGGGAGATAGTGAAACAGTCTGACTCTAAAAACCAACCCCTGACCACATAGGTGGTTATACCAATGCCCAAGAATCTTTCCTCTTGTTAGATATCGTATCACCCTGCCTATAGAATATATTCTCAATTGCAGTTTCTCTGTAAAAGATTAGCAAGATTATAGTCATCTGTTCTCAGAAAAAGTAATTTGTGTCAGTCAGCTACAATTTTTTAAAATTACCCAACTGGGCAGCATTTCATGCTAAGAGTGAAGATAAACAAATATGCATAACAGGACAGCAAATTCTAAAAAAGAAAAATTGTCTAGGTGTAAACAACACTGAATTCTCTAGGGAGGAAATATTCTTAAAATTATCAATAACTCCACAAAATAGAAGCAACAACCTTGGCTAGAATGAAAAGAAATGTATATTTGCTCAATCTCTGAATACCTCGGGCTCTAGGCCCTCTTAACCATCACCTTCCCGCAACAGCCACACCTGCAGGAAGGTAGGCAGTTGGTCAGGTCACACCTGCAAATGTCTGCTTCCAAAATCTGGCATCCGGATGTTCTCTCTCTTGCAACTGCATGAGAAAGAAAATGTAATGCAAATAATGATGGATTATATGAAAATAATACAGAGGATGCTGTCAACATCGCTCACTGACTCATGTCAAAATATTTTACCAGTAGCTTTCTAACCCATCATTTCTAAGCTACATCACTAATTTTAAAAACAAGAACTGTCCCACATCATGTCTCTTGCAAAAGAGTAAAAAAATGTTCTTAAGAGGTGCATAAACACGAATGACTTTGTGAAAAATAATTCCCAAACCTCAACAAATTCTATATCATCACTTGTAAGCCAATGAAAGTTCCTGACACGCATTATAAAAACCCCATATAATATCATAAGCCATTGTTTGTCTAACTCTCCACTGTGTCTTCTGCCTTTACCCCAAAAAAGGCAAGATTTGATTATCTCTGCTGCATCAGCCAAGACAGCAACACCAGCTGTTCTCATTGTGCAGCCTCTTCCTCGCGGCCTCCATGTTAATAACCTGATCATTCCATTTTCTCCTTCAACTGCCGGCTGCAGCACCGCGAAGAGACAAAAACCCAGGCCCATCTGCAGCAGCTGTAGGCACTGAACTGTGAAGCCACCAGGGATTTATAAACTAATCTGTAACACAACACTGCCTTGTTTTTACAAGTGAGAGGCCACATTTGCGCAGACCTGATCTTTTCTTGCAATAAACTGGAAGCTTGGGAGAGTTAGAAGGTTAGGAAGAATGAAAACAAGGTATCTTATCATTTGCTTGGAAATCTTTTTCCAAGTATTTTCATAGATTTTTTTTCAACTCAATTGAAAGGCAGGTCATGGTTGATTTTCAAGGTGCAATGTATATAAAAAATGAAGACAATTTTTTTTATCCATACCAGAAAATAAATTATAGTTTTAAAAATCTAGTCCCCAAGTGTTTCCTCAAGGGTTTCTTTGCATAAAGTAAAAGAATTCTTGAAATGGAAAATAAACCATCTGTGGAAAAATAAGCTCCTACTTCTCTATCTTTTCATAGATCTGAATAAGTCTCCAACTGAATTCTTTCAAATGTTTCAAACAGGTATGTTTAACATCTCCCAGGGGAGGCAAGAGCATGGAGACTAACCATTTAATGGAAAATACAAACAAAAACCTGCATCTGTTAAAAGAAGAAGATCTGAGATACCCAGACCTTAAGGAAGACAGCACCTGCTGTTCTGCTTGAGGACTGAACTGCATTGTGGGAAGCCGCAGCTTGAAAGAAGACAGGTGACAGCTGAGTGGTATCTCCACTTATGACACTGGGAATGTCTCGCACAACATTCATTGCCGCATTTGATTTATATGCGCTGTTATAATCTGCACTCATTACAATCACTTAGAACAACACTACAGGCCTCATTATGGACTGTGTGCTGTCTGCCATCAGTCTTTAAGAAGTGTAGTGCTCAATTTGCCCACTGACATGCAAGGTCTTGACCTTGAAGCTATTAGGGAGCAGATTAGACACAAGTGTGATCATGTGTGCAGACATAAGCAAACCAAATTAATTTCTGGCACAGGGAGGTAGCCAACAAGACCCTGTTCTTAAGGCACCAGAGAACTTCCTCAAATCCCTGATGGAGCTGAGCTAATAGCATGTTTAAGGGAACCCGGTTTTGAAGATGAAGCACATTCATGGTATTTAGAGGGTTATTAATCTAGTTTCCCCACAAAGTGTTTGCTTGGCTGATCAGATTAAGGGATGGAGCCTTCAACAGCGCACCCCCACCACAGCAGGCCCCAAGAAATCTGTGATACTTCACAGCCTTGGACATATTGCACCATGTGTACCCAGCTGCCTCAGTAATTAGCTTATGAATGTATCAGCTGGTTCTGTGATTTTTATAAATAATAACCTACAGAGCAGAAAGATTGTCAAGAGCCTTATAGTAGCACAAAATCGGAAGGTGATCCTAACTCTACCTTGCTCTTCTCCTAAAGGCCGTTATTCCCTCCTACGGGCGCTCCTGTGATGCCATATATAGGTATTTATTTTGTATCTGAACTGGTAATGTATTTTTGTGTTAGTTTTCCTCATGGCAGCCATGATTTACCTTCCCCTCACTCTGGCTCGCTTGCTCATTCCATGTATTTGTAAGCCTATCTTCAGGAAATCTATTCTTCCACCTCACTTCCCATCTCATGCACCATCATTTTATTCATATCATCTTTTCACCAGCCCATTTGGGATGCTTATCTCTGTTTTCTCAATACGGTCTCTTATTAGCTTGTTTGCTGGCTAATGAATGTGTGAGAAAGTGCCACGCAGTTGCATGAACACACATGTATGTAATTGTGAGTGACCCCATCACAGAAGAGATAAAGGGTCCCCATATTGGGATTTTTTTTCATTTATATAATCTTTGCATGCCATCCAAGAAAGTTTTGCAGTATCAGGCAAAAAAAAAAAAGTGTAAATGTCAAATAAAACAGTGACAGATGACAGTATTCTCTATTGAATAGCACTGTTTCTGTCGTGCATGTTCAATGGGAACTCATGAATTATTAATAAACAAATCTCCTTTTTCTGTTAAAAATCTCAAGTAGGTTTTTGTTGTTTTCTCTGTGTTATGTGGAGCATTCCATGAGAATTATTTTCATTTCAGAAATGCTGATACAGAAGTTCATCTGGTTTCCAGCCTTGGACAGCTCTGTGAGTGGGCACCATGAACTGTGGAGTATATGCTTCCCTGGGATTTCTCTCTTAGCCTGGTTTTAAGTTTTGACCAAAGGTTGGCTGTATATTCCTAGAGTCCATTTAGCTTTTACAGTCTGGTAAAACTAGGACTGAGTGAATTATAACTGTTTGAGCATAGCTAGGAATGTAGAAGGTATCAAACCTGGATCTCTAAGACCTAACTGCTAAGTTCCTGGTCTGTCATTAAATAACGGGGTGACCTTTGGGCAAATAGTTACACTGTTCAAGCTCCTGGGTGCTTAACTGTAAAAGGACGGGTTAACAAAAGATGGTCTCTAAGTTCCTCTTTGGTTCTACATTCCATGATCTGTTACCTTGTTATCTGTCAGAAAAAGCAGATAGTGATAAACCATCAGGGTTAAAGGCACAAATAAAAAATAACCTTGACAAAGTGGTCAAGGTCAAATAACTAGTGATGATATACTGACACCACGAATGCTCTGATATAATGTACTGCAAAGGTTACAACATCATGTCTGAGGTAGTCTTGCCCAAAATGCATAACCTCAGTCGAAACATGAGAAAATATCAAACAAACCCAAACTGAGAAGTGTTCAACAAAATAACCAAAAATGGCAAGGTAATAGAAGAAAAGAAAAGACTTAAGAACCGTCACAGACTGCAGAAGACTAAGGAGAATAATAATAACTAAATGCAATGTGGTTGCCGGCTACGATCCTGTCCCAGAAAATAGACATTAGTAGAAAAACAGGTGAAATTAGAATAAGGTTTTTGTTTAGTTAACAGTATAGAAACAATGTCACTTTCCTGGTTTTGATAATTGCCCTATCATCAATAATTGCCATATGGTGATATAAGGTGTCAACATTAGGGGAAGATAGGGGAGGGATATATAATACAGTGCAATGATCCCTTCCATACTAGTTTGGCAACATTTTTGTGAGTCTAAAATTAGTTCAAAATAAAAAGTTTTTTTTAGATACAGGAAATTCCTGGAACTTATAGAGAAAAATATACATGGAGCCTAAGTGTAATAATACCAACAGGTTCGCAATTAAAACTTTACCTTCAAAATCTGAATCCAGAGAAGGAATCTATTAATAAGTTCAAAGACTGCTTCCTTGCAATCAATGGTTAAAAGTTCCCAAGCATTAGGGTGCATAAGCAAATAATATTTATTCACATCTCATTTTAGCCATCTCATCAGCCTCTTAAACAAATATATTTCCCTCAGTAGAAAAAACAACTCTGACTGCCCTTCCAACTATGCAGGTGAGATGACACTCCTACCAGTCAAGATATAGTTTGTTTACAATCCAAGTGTTCCTGAAAAGTTGCATATCAATTTACATTTACAAAGCAAATCACATTGTAAATGTATTAGACATGCTTACTATTTGAAGAAATGTGCCATTAATTCTTTCTGGAAGATGAATAAAAAATTCCTAGTTTATCTTTTATTAAGTTGATAGTTTCATTAATGAGTTGCATAAAGGAGAGAACCTCTAGTTCACAATTTAAGAACATTACTAGAGGCAACAATAAAAAAACACCATTTGCCTCCATTTTTCTTTCATGACCTTGTCTCCCACCAGTTCCCCTACTGACCTTGTGCTCCAGCCACTGTGAATTACTCACAGGTACACTCTCACCTTCATGCTTCTGCCATGTTACTCTCTTAGATGGAATGTCTCATACTCAACTTCTTTTCCCCATGAGAAGCTGTACTTCAAGGCTCAGCTGATGTGGTCTCATTTGTTTCTCACTCTTGCATAACCCTGAAGCATTTTGTTTATACTTTTTCACAACTTGATCATTATTATTTTTAGGGGTGGGTATGTCTGCATTCCCATCAGAACAGTTAGCTTCTTGATGGGAGTGGAGGGCAAGGGTTTGTTTCTTACTCATTTTACCATTTTCAGAGCAGAGTATGGTTTCTTGCACATAGTAGCTTCTCAATAAATAGTCATTAGATTGAACCAAAATTATTAGAGTACACAGAAATTAGCCTAGAGGAATGTTTTATGGACTCAAATTCAGAAAGTTATTGTTTGAGAGAAGCACCAATTCTCAGAAGCAACTTTGTCACTGTTCTAAGGTTTGTTTCCCTATCTCTAATGCATGAATACGATAGGGAAAATGGTCCATTATATAAATTGCAAATAGTAATAGTAGTCTCTCAGGACATTGATTCTGTTAACAATTTTCTGTTGAGCACCCATCTCCTGCATGCCATGCAATGAATGGGCTAGTACATTACATATATTATCTAATTGTCATTGTTACTTTTTACTTGAAAGGTTAATTGAGACTGCCAACAAGAAAGTGAGTAATTCTGACCATGAAGCAGTTCAGGAAAAGTGTCATCATTGAGATTATGGCATGCAAGGTGAATCTTGGAAGATAAAGATAGATTTCACCAGGTGGGGAGAGGACTGAAAGTCTAGAAATGAAGGTAGGGCTCAGATTATAAAGAATGTCATGCAAAAAAACAATTTTTATCTTAATCTTATGGGCCCTAGGAGTCTTTGAGGGCTTTTTAACTGACATGATGAAGAATTAACTCGTCTTTCTTTTCATCTCTTTCCCCCACCTTCTTCCTTTTTAAGAAGAAGTTGTTGGGGAAAAGGCTATCATAAAGTCAAGAGCATGACTTATCCTAGACTAGATATCTTTTTTCATAGTGAACTTGTGTGGCTTGGTATTAACTGGGACCCACAATGGCCTGGTACTGGTAAAGTGCACACTTCATAAGTTCTACCCTCTAGGAGTGTTCATTCTAAAAAGACATGACATATATCATAAAGAACCACACTACATCAATCATTTAAATAATCTGTTATCATTTTAACCACTTTCTTTTCTCTCTCTGTGTGTATATATGCATGTATTTCTGTCGTTGCTGTTGTTAATATTAGAGTTTTTAAAGCTCTCTTCAATTGAAAATGAATGAGGTATGGCAATATCTATTTCACTTATAAAATATTTTAAAAGATTAAAATATTTCAAGTCCACAATAAATGAGTGACATATCCTCCAAACCACATACCAAAGGCTGAGAATGTTCAAATGACCAGGGAGGCCTTTCACAAAACAATAATATGGCCCAGTGTTCAAGCTTGGAGCCTAACAGATAAGAGTTTGAATCTTGGCTGTAAATCTTACATGTTAAGTGATAAGGAGGGGAGGGGCACACCACAGATGAAAAGAGTGGGGTTCCTGTCCATGGTACTGAAATGCCACTGCATACAAAGTGGCTTGCTTTCTCTTCCCCAGGACACTTGGTTTTGACCCCAACTTCTCACAGCCCCCATGTTTTTTCCTTAAAAAACATTGGTCTAGGTTTATGACTAATTTTCCAGTTTTTACAATATTTCAGAACAAATACAAACTAGAACTTGCTCAGCACTAAACACAAGTTCATAGCCTGCTCTGATCTCCCACAAGAGTTAATAACTTTACCCCTGTTGAATAAAGCTGTATATGCTCCTTGAAGGCAGGGCCTTGTCACAGTGATTATTCCCCTTGATATGACTAACACAAAGCTAATGAGTTACTTCACCTACTAATTAGTAAGTAGCCCCCACTCCCTTTGCCCCTCTAGGAACTCTAATGAATGAATATCTCAGCAAATGAACAGTTCTTCAGGAGAATGACTCATAGATTCTTGCAGCAGAAATGCAAAAGGCCATTTACTCACCCACATCTTCAATACAGAAAATGTCAGCATATGTAACCAAAGGGAAATGTTTTCTGAGTATCTCAAAAGGAAACTCATATTATTAACCACAGACAGTTCGCTTTCTAAATGGAAGCACATAAAGTCCCCAAACAAACTTTTGTAACTGTGAAAGGATTTCTCTTCAGATGGTTGAGACTCTTCTGAAGTGTGAAATGAGCCAGATAATATTCAGCTCTTGTTTCTTCGTCACCGAATTCTCTTTTCATGAATCCAATAAGTGTCTATTAAAATAAATAAACCCCCTAATGACTCAAGATAACCTAATCAAGAAAACTGAAATGGATAAAAGCCTAACTACAAGGAAGGCTTGTCAAGGGCTTCAATGAATCCCTGACAAGGAGATTATCTAAACCTGAAAAAAGATTTGTGCTGGCTATTTGGTTAAAGTTCAAGGTTAATTATTTTATACTTTAAATGTGGTAAGTACAGAAGATCTGCTTCTTTACTTTTCAAAATTGTATACTAAATTCTAAACTGTATTTTTACAGGGACCAATTTTTAGCTATGTCTGGGTTATCTTATGCATGTCACTGACATTTCTATGGATATGTCTGTAAAGATTGAGTCTGTAATTGAGAGTAATGAAAATTTTATTTCAGAACAGCCCTTTAAACCTCTGCTGGGCTCAAGTCAAGAGGGGATTACACAAAATTTTGTTGCCCTCCTTAGCATACACGGAATATGCATAGCTATTTAACAGTATGGAGATTTGGTACACCTTTACACATATAAATACGTACAAACACACATACATGCATACATGGGTACATGCACCTTAAAAAGCCATTTGTGTTTGTCAAAAAAGAAGAATGAATCTAGAATCCTGGACTTCTTCACTTCAACGGCAGAAAGATATTAACAGCAAAATGCACTAGGCTAAAATATCAAACTGAAAACAATCAAAATGCTTCCAGCACCTCCCTTCAGGTCCAAATGCCAGCATACCTGTGACGTATCACTGTATATTGCAAACTTCCTCAAGAAGTTATCATAATGGGTGGGTGGCAGGGGTGGGGCGGTATGGGCAGGGTAGTGGTTGGGGAAACCAGACAGGGCAGACAACCAGGAGTAAAACTTTTTTTAAAGATCAGGGTGGGACTAGAATGAGGTGAACAAGCAACTAGGGCATGAAATGTAAACAGAATGGCTTGACAAGTGTGTGCTTTCTTACATCTTGCACCCCAGGCAGCTAGCTTGCCTTACCCTAGGTCTTGGCCCTGTGAAAAGAAGATTAAATAGTCTCAACAGCAAAGTGGTAGCAACCATTCATAGATACCAACATTCTCCCACTGTAAGAACCACAGTTTAACTCGATGTCCTCTTCCCTAACCAGCTGGGGAGAAATCAGAGAGGAAGCTTTAATATGGCAACCTAATTTACTTCAAAGACACATGCAAGTTTCCAAAGTTACCAAGTCAGGAACAGGCAAAATAATGAACTCAAAGGTTTCTGCAGAGGATAAAATGAACTTAAAATGAGTTTAAAACTAGTGATAAGTTAAAAGTATTTGACATTTTAAGAACTGCATATGTAGTCTGATTAATCTTCATTATCATCATTATTATTGATTGTCTAAGGACTCCTATAAAGACTAATTTTAAGGCATGAAACATTAACATAATTAATTGTGAGGGTGGTAAAAAGAACCCAATTCTTGATCATGAGGTTGATATTAAAACAGATCTTATGGGAATGTCTGAGGAGATTCCTTCACTAGAATCTGATTTCTTGAGATTATACCAAGAGAAAAAAGAGGGGAGACTGGAGGGCTCAACTTGACGCTCGCGCATCATATCACTATGTTCACACCACTTAGTTTGGCATTTGGGAATCTGAGAAATTTCTTCACTAGGCATATAATATTTTTCAAATGGTATTTTTAGCGTACATATATTAAACTTTTTTGAATTTGAATTTGGAACACCACCCCTAAATTTTAGTATATTTCGCCCAGTTGACAAGAGTGGAAACTGGTCCATGATAGGCTCTCAGAATGATTGTGTTCTGAAGAAAGCTACCTGGCAGCTACTCAGTCAAGGCTGTACACCTCATTTTTTCCTACCTTACATGTTGAATATAAATGGCAAAAGCAAAATCATTAGCAGTGAGGCAGACCACCAACTCACTTTTACACAGGGTATCTTATGGCCTATAGTTTCTGTTAGTCTTTATACCAGAGAGCTCAGGTCAGCAACATGTCTACTTCCAGGGCCCTAAGTTATCCCAGCCCCAGTAAAGGCATCCTCAAAATGGAAACTTAATAATATAAGATCAACATTAAAGCACTTTTTGTGCAAAATGGCAAAACTTTGATCTTTGTGCAACATTTTTTAAAGGCTAGGAAACTAAGTAATGAGACAAGATAATTTTTTATATTTTGTAAATTTACTCTCCTACATAAAAAAGTTGTCCTAAAAAATTATAGTTTTAACTTGTCTCATAATTATGTGTTACACAGTTACGATATCAATTAGGACATAAACATACACATATACTCCCATGCAAACATATACACATTGAAAGAAAAGATTCTAAAATATTAATACTAACTATGTCTGGGTCATGAAATCATGGGTGATCCATGTTTTCACTTTCATATTCTTCGTCACTTTCTGAATTTTTTAAAATGAGGCTGTTAAATTACTTACGTAATCACAAAATATAAATTATTTCTTTAAAAAATGTATAAATATGTACCTGAGACATTTTAAGAAGAGATGCAAAAACAAAAATTAATTACTCTCTTTCCTTTATTTTTCTTTTATATAAAAAGAATCTTCCACAGAGACCTAGATGTTTTAAATTATTTAGCCTGTCAAGCAAATTAGACCACCTATAAGGAGAGATTTTAAGAAAAAAGCAATGTTCATAAAATCTGAGCTTGTAAACTACATCTAAAACATAAGTACACTCTCACTTAGGAATACAATTTGTTAAGTAGTTGAGAACTTGAAACTTTTTTTTTTTTTTTGTAGAAACATAGTGCTAAGGCATAAAGGTCAGTACACAAAATCCACTTAATCCTAATGTACATGAAGCATAGAACATACTGAAACCCAATCACCATGTAGGTCATAGTTTCTATGGGGAAAATGATTTTAGAATTGTGTATTACAAGCCAGAAATCCATCTCTTTTAGCTACAATGGGATCACAATTATGCCTCCCATTCTAAAGTGTGTAGTAGGAAGAAAAACTCTCTCATTCCTGACTTTAGTGGCAGTTCCTGCAGCCAGTGGGCCTGCAAGGGCATAGGTAGCATGGAGGATTGGCAGAGGTCTTTAAACCTTTGTAAAGATGAGGACATCTTACTAATATCATCTCACCAGAGACCCCCCTGGTTCCCTGTTGGTTCCAAAATCACCCTTTTTCTTTTATCCCAGCAGGCTCTGGCACTACCCCCTTTCATTATCACCATCTGGGGTTTAAAACCAGGCCGTCTTTTTCCCCTTGTCTGTATGGAACAGAACAGGGTGTATCAGTTTCTCTCCACCTTCCTGATACAAAAAGCAAGTCCACAGCCCTTCGGAAGTTTTTGTTCATTGGTTTATCTTTTTAATGGAGGGAAGGGAAAACAGAGATTAAAAATAAGCCCCTTTCCATTTCTCTCCCTACTCTATTTTTACCCAAACCTAGTAGGAAAAAACAATCACATATGTAGTGTTGAGTCTTCGGGTATACAAATAATAATAATAAATAATAAAGATTAACTCTCCTCTCAAAGAAAAAAAAAAAGTCAGATGATCCTTAGCATTCTATGAGCTAACCTATCGTAGCCCATAAAAGGGAGAAGATAGCAGGATATGAGAAGAAAAAAACAATCAGTGTCTGGGAAATGGGGTAATTGATGTCAAGGGAGAGAAATGTGGCTGAGGATGTTGTCAAAGTACACAACCGTCCCCTGAGAGCCGCAGAAGATGTGCCCACAGGTTACTATGTTTTCTCTCCTCTAGATTTCTACAACCCAGATCACGGGTGATTGGGTAAAATTGGGAAGAAAGGGGGAAAGCGGCCCTACAGAATCTGCAGAAGAGGGCCAGCAAGATTAGCAGAAGCTTTTGAGGAACAAGGCATTCCTGTGGCCACGCAGACAGAATGTGGGGCATTCGCTCCCTGGTGGCCCTTTGTATGTGAGGGTCAGACTGGAGTTACACAGAAAACGCTCCATATGCCTTTACATTATGGCTTCTACTAAGAACCCCTAACTCCTAATTCACAGAGAATTACCACTGTCATTCTATTCCATGATCTGAGTATTCTGCAGACAGAAAAGGAAGGTAATCCTCAGAATTCACACACAGAAAATTATTTTAAAACACTAAACTGGTCCTAAATAGAAAATGAAGGAAAAGTACAAGGCGAAATGTGTATAAACATGTCTTTCCCTCTGGTCTTATCCTTCTTGGACTCCTTTCCCACGAAGAAAGGGGCAAGGGCCTGATAGAAGATACCTAATGGAAGTGGATGATGGACTGGCCTAGCAATCACCAAGGGACTAACTAGAGCTGAGCTGCAGGAGGTGGTCTGGGACCCTACAAATGCATCCTCATGTAACCCATACACTAGGGAAACATATACACACACTTCCCAGTAATGGATTTTCACAATGAACCAGTTTGCCACCCTTTCAACTCCTTTTCTGAACCCCTATCCTTGCATTGTGCCTGGTTCCTACTTAAACACTTACAGCCCTCGAGGACCCTCTTGGACCACCATTCCTACTCTCTCTAAAACTTTCCTCCCTCTTCCTATTCCCCATTCAAGGCTTCCCTAACACACAGGGCAGTGTTAGAAATTATTGTTAACAGCTGATTACAGCAATTAACACCAAGGAGTGTTAATGGAGGGGTCATATAAATTTCAAATGGAAGGAGAAGGTTGCTATGCATATTTGAACTCGGCCTTCAGGGATTCAAGGCAACTCCAGTTCACAAGACTACTTAATTGTTTCCCTAATTTCACCTTCAGGAGAAGGGAAAGCCCTTGCATTTGGCTCTTCAGTCACTGCAAGAACTTAAGATCCCTCCAAAGAAAAATAAAAGGAGGGAAGAAAATGCAAGGGAAGAGAAAAATCTTTGTTCCTCTCCGTCCTCACAATACAATGGAGTGGGTGTGGCCACTCCCCTCTGCAGCTTGAAAAGGTTAAGTCCTATGATTAGTCATGACTAAGAGAGATATATAAGTCTATAAGGTGTATATATATGACTAAGATATATATATCCATAAGGTGTATGTATGTGTATGCATATGTATAGACATATATATACACGTCTATGTATAGACATATATGTATGTACATATGTCTATGTATAGATATATATGTATGTCTATACATAGACATATATATGTCTATATACACACACAGATACACCTTATGGATATATATATATCTCAGTCTCATATATACACCTTATAGATTTATATATGTATACACATACATGTATATATGTGTATATACACATACATGTATATACACACATATACATATATACATATATGTGTATATATATACACACATACACACACATGTACACACAGGTACACACACATAGATACACCTTATGGATAGCCACCAAATATATATGCCATGTACCAAATCATGCAATTGATTTCACTAAATGTACTTTTTATCAAATGAATACTGATACTTATAAAATGGAGTGAATATCTTTTGTTAAATTGCCTTTGAAACTGCCAATTAAATTCATTTTGTTTGGCAGTATCATTTTTAAAAAAAAAACATAATAAACATAGTGCCTGAATTGCCTATCTAGTCAGCTATTTACAATAAGGTTCCCCACTCATAGATGAAAATGAGATCATTGTCCCAGTGAAAAAGGAACAACCTCAAAGCATCTTATCCTCACTTAAGCTCAATCTTACCTTCAGCATATTAATTCCCAGAACTATGTTCTTCTCCAAATTCTACGAAATCAGGGCTACTGATTTCTTCAGGAGACATCAAAAATTTGGAGAGCTAAGCTTCTGCCAGTTGGCAAAAGCAGCTTTCAATCAGCTACCTGAATTATTTTAGGAGGCTGGAGGCATCACTATTTCCAAAAGCCATACTGCTAAATCAACAGGAAGATTACAGGCTTTTGGAATCAAGTTCTCAGACTGTGGTCTTCAGTTTTTCTTGAAAGCTGCTTATAAAAGAAGGACTGTGTGAAACTTTGATATTTACATCAAGTCACAACTAAGGGGCAGGTTTGCAAAATCAATTGTGCAGCTTTTATACTCACTGCACATTTACCACATATGTCCTTTATTACACAGTGGAAAACCATTAAATGCACAGTAGTTTTGCCAAGTGGCATTATGCATTTAACAGCTTTATTCGTTTAACAGCTCCAACTCTCATTATATTTTGCCATGTGGTACATGGGATTTTATGCATTTAACAGTTTAAGAAGGCTCTATGGTATTTTCTTTTCATGTATTTCATACTATGGTTGGACATTATGTCTTAGCAAACTGTATTTCACTGATTTCATTGAAGAGAGAAAGTCAGAGTAATCTGGAAAACTTACTACACTGAAATTGAAAAGGGAAACAAACATTTCAATCCCTTTCCAAGTTCCTTGATATTCTACTCCCCTCCTTTTATCAACATCTAAAAATAACCTATATCAGGTTAAAACTGCAGGTAAAGAAGGCTAACCCTGTACTCTATAATTAATCTAAATATAACATTTAACTACAGTTTGAAGTTTTTCAGTTTTAAAAATTTAATTTTTATTGAAAACCTTCTTGCTTAATAGAAATACAATACTCAGTCACTTCCTTTCTTTATAGCACACAACAGAAGATTTGTTAGGGAGATGATCAACCATTTGATTATTTACATATGTAGGGATGAAAACATTTGTCATATAAGGACACAGAGGAAATCAAGCTCAGAATCAAAGGACTCTCAAAATTATGCTTTAACTAACTTTTATTTCCTCCACTCTGCATTAGGTGTTCGCCCTAGGTATACATAAGTGAGCATGCACCTCAAACCTAGGATTCTAGGTTTGGGCAGAAGTTGTCCCTTTAAATGAAGAATTGAAGCAGATAGTAGATCCCATCAACTGTTGCTGCTTTCAGAAATAAAAAACCTAAGCATCTGTCTGCTCTTTTCCCCAGAGCATTACATTCTCCACAATCCCAGAACTCTGAAAAATTTTACTGGATAAGCTTCTGTGTTTTTCTGTTAAAAGATTTTAGCACTTACTCTGCACTCCCCCCACGTGTGTTTTCTCCTGAAAAAATCAACTGTATTCTGTACATAAAAGAAACACCTGACATCAAAAGGTGTCTCTGGGGCTGGGGAAAAGTGGTTATTATAACAGAGTTGGACATTCCCCTTGTGGGAACAGGAAAGGTGATGAGACTTGGCTAAAACTTGGTCTCAGAAAGGTGCTGTTATATACATTCTAAGTTTTGTTCATACACACACACACACACACACACACACACACACATATATAAAGGGAGAGAAACAAAAGGGTACATTGCAGTGTTTAGAATAAGGAGAGAAATCATTCGAGGCTAATTTTTTTTAATCTTTAAAAGAAAAAAGGTCAAGTTTTGGCTTCATCTCTATTTTGAACTCCAATGGGAATAAAAGCAAACTAGAGTAAAAGGCAGAACATGACAGGTTTCTTGGGGGTTATTACTGTTATTATTATTATAGGAACAGATGTATTTTTATTGGTGGAGGAAGGAGAAGGATCTAATTCCAGCCCTCGATTTTGCTTTTTTAAAAACCACTCACCTGACTTTTATTTGCAGCCACTTTGGCAAACAGGGCTTGAGACACCTTGGCCCTTTTCATCTCCTGTTGGATCTCGTCATAAATGGCAGCTGTGATGTTGATGTTGGCGCCGTCCACCTTAATAGGGAGGTCTGTTGTCGGTGTCGAGGTTTTGGCCTACCAAGAGACCATGAAAATAATAATTTAAAAAGTGCTGCATTCAGCCCAGCCATCTGTGCAGAAATTATCAAAGGATTTCAGTCAGCTGATGCCAAACTGCATTAGCTACAGAGGGACACTTCCTGTCCATTATTCTAATCAGGTTAATTGTGATTGGAAATAATTGCAGTGCATTCCTATAGGACATGCAGAATCCTGTCAACCCTGTTCTCTCACAGCATCCCAGACGAAGGTTCACAGGTAGGATGGCTCTCCTAGACACCAAACTATAAGCAACCATCTAACTACAAAACAAACATGCAGAACACACACACAGTTAACCTTTTCTTTCTAAAAATGGCACACCTTGGAATAAGAGCCAATTCTTCCAGAAAAAAAATAAGTAAATGGGTAGAGGTCTCTAAATAATAAATTATTACTCAATTTAATGCACTCCCAAGTCTCTCTTATTCTTTATTAAAGCTTTACATATGTCATTCGAGTATGTATGGTTTCCCATCATTATCATCATTATGCTACCCAGACAGTCACCTAATTTCACCTAGGAAATCAGTGGAAATGAAACAAAATTTCATTTCATAAAACTAGGCTTCACAATGCCTTTGATGTGCCGTTTTCATTTTCTTAAACTCATATTGCGGTTTTATGTATTCTGCAGTGCTCGTTTTAATTGAATGATTTCCCATCAGCTTCAGAGACAAATGAAGGACAATATAGAAGTCTGTACTTCTTGGGGTTAGGATAACCCTAAAATGTCTGAATCTACTTAATCCAAAAGACGGTCATAACATTTACTTGGTGTGAGCCCTAGAATGCATTGCTGGTGTCTAATAAGAGAGGGCTGAGACATTTTCTTAGAACCTCTGGCAGCAAGATTTCAGGAAAAGACATCCTTGATCCTTGTGCACTACCAGCCGAATTGGCCTAACCTGGGTTTTTTCTCTTTGTCCCCATTCACCCTAGAATCTCAAACCAACAGAGTTATCTCCAAATCACAAGTTTCCCTGTGCGGATGCCCTGAGCTGTTCTCTACTGGATCCAGCAGTATGCAGGTCCAGAGAAAGATGTAACAGGCAGTGTGGACTCTGTGACAAATGGTGTCTAGCGGCAGAACTTAAGGCCCTACGTTTCCATAAAGGCTTTGCTTCCTAACAGTGCTCAGTAACTTCTGCCATTTTTCTTCTACCTCCTTCTCTCATACTATTTTCTAATTACCGCAAAGCAATAATTACTATAATTTATGGCGTGCTTTTTATGGGCCAGGTACTCCAGAAAGCATTTTAACATTTGTTTTCACATTTAATTCTTTTAAGATTCCAATGAGTTAGATATTATTATTTTCATCTTACAGATGAAGAAACTGAAATAAAAGAGGATCTTAACCTAGGACACCCAGCAGCCAGTGAAGGAACCATGATCTGAACGCAAGTCTTTCAGGCTCAAAAACATGGGCTCAGGACACTGCACTACACACTGCCTCCAAAATCTCCAATTTATGCCAGGTGCTGTTGTAAGAATTTTCTTGCTATGTTGGGACTTTCCCATTAAAAATTCAATTATCTGTAATTTTTTAAAATAAACTATTTGTTCTGCTCAAAATTTCTAGTTAACCCACAGTGCTTTCCCTGTTAAGAGAACGTTTTAGCATAGCATGTCTGCCCTTTCTCAATTCAGTTTTCTTAATTTGCCTCACTGACTATCTCATCCTACCTGATTGGTCAAGCCTTCTCTCCAACCATGAGGGCTAAGACGAAACCCCTCAGCCATGTGCCCTTACACAAGTTACTGAATCCATCTAAACCTCAGTTCCCTCATCTGTAAAATGGGCATAATACCATAAAATGGTGACAACTGAATTCATGCAAAATGTTCACAACACCTAATACACAGTAAGCGTTTTAACAAATGATCATTCTTATCTTAGTATTGTTTTGTCATTATTAAGTACACCATGGAATGCTGGCCAGCTGAAGAAATAAAAAGAGACTGGAGGTATAATTTCAAATTTCAAATTTCTTCAATTTGTTTTTCAGCTACTAATAAAGTATAGATGGGGTCTGGAAAATAATCTCCCTGCATCAATGTCAAGCTGCTTGTGTGCACTAAATTGCTGACTCCAACTAAAAGGCTGAGTCAGTGAGTACTCCTCTAATACTTGTTCTCACAATAAAATCTGTACTGTACTACGATCTTTACTGTTGAGATATGACTGTAAAGAATTTTAAGTCAGTAATCATGAAATGTTTTAAAAGACTTTAATAAACTCTCCTTTCTCAATCTTTACCCAAGAGAAAAAGACAATTCTAGAGAATGTACAAATGCAATGCCATGACCGTATTCTCAAAAACATGTTTAAATATTTATTTTCAAAAATATCAAAACTGTGATATTAAATAAGAGATTTCCCTGCTACACCTATCCCTAAAGGGCATCTGTATGAATTTTCTAGATGGCATTCTGGTCAAAATAAGCAAAATACTGACCCTAACTGTGGGGCCTTGTAAGTCAGTCTGGCACTGAAAGCTATTAGGTCTTTGAAAAGGTGCCTACGATATATAATCTTGTTAGGAAAATAGTACAAAAGAGCTGAAAACAAATACACAGACCTGTGTTAATTTCTAACAAGCAGAAGTAACTTTCTAAGAAGAGCTGCCTTGTCAAATGGCCATGAAGTATGCCTGGGCTCTTCTATAATGGTTTAATGGGCTTCAAAAGTGGCAAAAATATTGATGAATTTAGCAGAAGTAAATATTAGTGCACATTAACAACTTGCCCAACTTACTAGCTCAGTATGTATGTCCCCAGATTTTTTTTTAAGTAAACAAAAATGCTTGGTTATACTCATCCAAAGTAAGCAGTCAAGAGACTTATTTTTGGTTCAAACAGTAACTAAAACTCATAATTCACTAAAGACTGAAGTGTAAGTAACACAATTTGGCAGTGCATGATAGAAAGTAATCTTCAATTAAAAGTTTATTGCAGAGTACAAAAATATAAAAAGAGTTAAAATGTGTGAAAAAATGGATATACTTGAAAAAGCTCAAATATTTCTACTAGGATACAATTCTGCTTCTATGCTTAATCAGTTCCTTAGAATTTATCAGAAAACGCAAAACCAAAGCTATAATATCTAAGCAAAACAACCTTTGGTTTTGAACCGCCCATTTTTCAGCTTTGTATAAATGTATATCCATTAGGTCGGGCACGGTGGCTCATGCCTGTAATCCCAGCACTTTGCAAGGCCGAGGTGGGCAGATTACTTGAGGTCAGGAGTTCGAGACCAGCATGGACAACATGGTGAAACCCAACCTCTACTAAAAATACAAAAAATTACCCTGGTGTGGTGGCATGTGCCTGTAATCCCAGCTACTCGGGAGGCCGAGGCAGGAGAATCACTTGAACCTGAGAAGCAGAGGCTGCAGTAAGCCATGATCACACCACTGCACTCCAGCCTGGGCAACAAAGTGAGACTCCTTCTCAAAAACAAACAAAAAAAATTTATACCTGTTAAATACTGGTTTTGAGAATTAGCACTCAGACAGAACCTGCAACTATCATAGCAACAGTGAACGGACTGGCCTTATCATAAATCTATCGAGTAGTAAAAGTTTAGGGGAAATAGGGGATAGGCCAGAAATGAGTGGGCTTGGATGTGAACTAGAAATGACCCCTGACTGCCTTGAGACCTTGACCCTTGAGTTAGGAGCTTTGAAGCACACATTACTAGATGTATACATTTGCATGAGGGCCTAAGAAAAGAATACTTTTCAAGTGTGTGGAGAGGAAGAATGGAAGTCACCAAATTCTGTGGGGAGATCATCCTAGGATGGAAAATAATTAAGGCCTACCTTTCCACCATCATTTTCTAAAGGATCATTGAGTGACATCTCAGTCATTCTGATCTGGACACTGCATATGCATGCTTCCACTGCAAGTGTTCCTCCATTTTGTCTTTTTCAGATTACATAAAACAGAGCTTCAACTACCCTCTGCCCCCTGCCCTCAGCCACCTCTACCCCATCCAGCCCAACCAAATAAACATACAATTTGAGGGAAAGCAGTGTGCTTGCTATGCAAACTCAGCTTCAACACAAATGCCCTAACTCCTAACTGAGCAGCTATGTATAAACATCCTAGAGCCCGCCCCTGTGCCCACTCCTACCTTCCTACCCCTCACCTACCACGTATGGAAGAATGGGACTTCCTAAAGGGACAGAAATATAGTATGGGATCATATATGGTCAGAAGTTCATATCCTCTGACCAACATGTTCAGCGGATTAAGAAATCATAGAATTGGCCATGGACGGTGGCTCACGCCTGTAATCCCAGCACTTTGGGAGACCAAGGCAAGCGGATCACCTGAGGTCAGGAGTTCGAGAAGAGCCTGGCCAACATGGTGAAACCCCATCCCTACAAAAAATACAAAAATTAGCAGGGCATGGTGGTTGGTGCCTCTAATGCCAGCTACTTGGGAGGCTGAGACAGGAGAATTCCTTGAACCCAGGAGGCGGAGGCTGCAGTGAGCCGAGATCATGCTACTGCACTCCAGCCTGTGTGACAAAGCAAGACTCCATCTCAAAAAAATTAAAATAAAATAAAATAAAATAAGAAAAGAAAAAAAGGAAAGAAATCCTTGAATTATGTCTCTCAATGTTTGAGGGAAAACACAGTAACTAGTGAAGGCAAGATGTTTCCAAGACAAAGAGTGAAAAATACGGAAAGCAAGTTTCTCACCTGAGGGGTTCGGGAGGAGCTGGGACTGCTGGAGGCCGAGGAGACCATGCTCACATTGGGATTCATGCTCCGCTCCCTCTCATCCTGGTAGATGCGATCTCGCTCCACTTCTGGCAGATTGAGGAAATTCTGCATGGCCCTCAGGTTTACTAGAAGAGACTGAGAGGCTGTCCGAGGGTCTTCTTCCTTACGCAGAATCTCAGACAACAATCCCTGATTAAATGGGGGAAAAAAACAGACCAAGTCACATTTGCAGGTATATGTGTGTGGTTTCTGTCTTCCACCCCTCTCCTCCTTTGTTTGGTTTAACCAGCTCGCTGTGATGTCAAGAACCTCACACTAATTCCTTAGGGTTCTCCGATATGAAGTCAATGTGCTTGCCTTCCGGGGGATATGCATTATTTTAGGACTGTTCTATTCTGACACTTTATCATCACTGTAATAATCATCAGTGTACAGACATGCCAGCTAGCAAGGTAGGCACTTGGGAAGAATTGTGAAACTGCAATTACCACCAGGTGCCTCCTACAAGTATTTCAGGAACTGTTAGAACTCTCTCTGCTTGAAACTGGGAACACTTGGCAGTCCTGCTTAGCTTTACAAATCTGCCAAGTTTGGTAAATTTAGTTTCGACATTTAAACAGCATGGTAGATTTACATCAATTTAAAAAAAAAACTGGCTGAATTTCTGTATGACCGGCCACTGTTTTCAATAGAGATATTTCTTATGCAAAAAAAAAAAAAAAAAGACGCAAAGCAAATGGCTAAATTGTGTTAACCCTCTGATAATTTCCCAATCTATACACACAATAGTTATCCTTACATATGTACAAAGGGCACCCAAATCTTTCATGAGACGTCTTCATGGGGGAAACCCTAATGTCACCATTAAAGCAATGAAAATGAAGTCACCTCTGGCGAGGGGCTGAGCACACTGTAATAACAGTGTGCACGGAATGCCATGATAGGCCCAGATACTTTCTGAATGTGTGACTCACCCAAATAGAAAGATTTAAATAGGAAGTCAGGGTTTTCATGTGCTCTGACGACAGAGAATTCACAAAGAAAAGGAAAATGCTGCCAAGTCTAGAGAAAAGTAGTATGGACTCCAGAAAAGGGCTGGAGATCTAAGGTGGGACATTGTCGTACTGGGGGTAGGTGCAGGTCTATTTCCATTCTGCACACTTGTTGGATTATCACACAGAGACATCACTTTATATTCCCAGCTAATATATTGCTTCTCAGAGCAGTATAAGAACAGGGTTTAGGATTATCCTCCTGGGAAGACCTGAGATGTTAATCCCATATCTTAGAACAGATGGGGCAACTGAAATCATGAAAAGTCACTTCTTTAACTGTAGTAAAGTAGAACAGATGCCAAAGACATTTCCACTCAGGTGAAAATTAATGCAAAGGAAACACTATCAGATTTCTAATATGTGGCTTAAATATGAAAAGGCAATGGATGTAAGAGGAATATGCTATCTCTAGTTGTCCAAAAATCTTCAGGGAAAGGTAGGCAATGTTTTAAAATAAAGCAATGCATTATAATATAGCGAAGCAAATGCCAGTTATAGGAACTGTATCACATAGCACTCCAAGGAAGCAATCACCACTCAGAACATCACATAGTCAATTTTACTACAAGAAACTTACAAGTACTATGTCATCTGACAGTTTCACAATTTGGATGTCATGTTACTTTGATTAGAGAAATTCTAAGTAATACTTGGTAGAAAAGCTACAGATCAGTGTCTTTTGTGTGCGTCTGTGTCTGTGTGTGTGCATGCATGCATGCCCAAGAAGGGGACAAGGTAGGATGTGTATGTAAAAATAACCGACTGGTACATGATTCTTAAAACAATCCAGATTTCTTGTCATGCTTTTAGAAGCAACGAGTGAGACACTTATCTTCCAGAAAATGTGATACAATCTAAGTATCGACTCTCTGAAATTAAAAGTCAGTTCTGCCTAAAGCTATCCTACTTTCCACTTGCACTAAGCAACCTGAAATATTCATAATGAATTTGTTTTGAAGATAAAAATCTTCAAATGAATATGCAGAGAAGCAAGAGCAAAGTGGATTTCAACTTTCAATACCAGTAAAAAACACTAAGGTTGATATTTTTTGAGTTTTCTTTAATGATAAATTCTGCATATAAAGGATGAGTTGGTCTTTTTCCTCTCCCTCCTTCCTCTCCCTTTCACTCTCATAAATTTGGTATTTCAATAAATTTCAAATTACTAAAACTTGAAGGAGTTTTAGGGTCAACACGGATAAATTTGTTTAGTTATTATGATTATACTCAAGAGATCTCAAAGGCAAAGTTTATAAACCTATTCTTCCTCTGTGAAATTATTTTAACAAGTTGTGGAGTTTATTATGGGAAAGATTTTGGATACGAAATAGTGACATAACAAAACTATTGTTCTAATGGACCATGGCTCAAAATTATGTTTGTTCATTCTCAATCAATAAAAAAAATTTTAAAACACAGAGTGTTTTAATTTGTTTCTTGTTTTTTTTTTTCCATTTTGAAACTGTATAGCTTCTTCTCCTACATTTTTTACATACTGGAAAACCTTACAGGGAAATTAATCCATCTCCAAGGAAAATTAATATGAAGTATCCTTGAGAATGACTGCTCAACCATTTCTGAGGTGAAAGAGACACAATATTTGTATTTTTAAAGGGTGGTGGAATATACTGTTTCCTCTGTTTCATTTGCCTAATTGAAGATAAAGTCTCAAACCAACAAGGAAGCCAGTGTCACCTCCACATATTACCCCCAGAGAATCAGAACACTGTTTTAAATTATTTATTAAAACTCTCATATGTGTAGCTATGGTCCCAAAGCAGATTCTTTTCACCTCAGACATTTTCAATAACAAGTGGCTCACTGGTGGGCACAAGAAGAGTTTTAGTTGTTTTGTTGAGTCTTTTTCATTTGAGTTATTTATGTGCTTTTAACTATTTAAATTGGGATTTTTTAAAAATGTAGTCCAAATTCTGCATGCTTATAAATGGAAAGTGAGTCTATTTCGTTAGTTGAAAATCATCAGAGGAGAAAAAAATCAGAAGAAAATAGACAGCATAACTTTCACATACCACAAATCACCCCACCTAATTATCAAGATAAGTAAATGTTTATCATATTGAAACTGTCTTGAATAGAACATAAATTAATAATTTATCTCTCACATAAATATTTCTAAAGCCCTTGCCACTATGTCATCTGGCATTTTAATTATCAACCAGCCAAGCTGGAGGTGTCACTTGGACATTCCCATTATGCAGCCTGGGATACAGAAAATGTGGCGCGGCACCTGGGCACTGAAAAAAAGATGCACTTTTATGAATAGAAAGGTCATGAATATTGAGAATGTGCAAATGGAGGGAAATTAATAAATTAACCAGGATATAGCTTATTAAACTTTCATATCAGTAATCATATTAAAATATATTGCAAGTATTGAGTAAAGTGATCATTAAGTATTTTCCTCCTCGTAGGCAACAGAACCTTCTCCAGGGACACATTAAAACAATTCCCTCCACAGTGTTAGCCGAGATTATGTAAGACCAGGAAACATGTTGACTAAAAGGAGCAGAATGAACATCTGCACAAGGTAGAGAGATACCCTCCAAAATAATTCTTGGGTTACAAGTCAGTGGAAAAAGAAGGAAGTTGGCCTTTTCCATAGCCTAATTAACATTTTGCAAGCTTCATATAATTTCCAGGACCACCAAAGAATACATGAGTTTGGCAAAATATTCATTAAAAGCAAAATAATTCAAAGTACGAAATGAGCAATAACTTATTATAATGCCATCTAGCTTGCTCATAATTTAGCCTGTTTGCTACCTCTACACACAAAACAAAGAATTGAGGCTAATTTTTAAATGAAAAATTAATGCCCTTATTTTTTTCTAGTATTTTAAAATATTTCTTTATAACAAATTAAATGACCTTACAGATTCTGAGTCTGTACTTTCTGTGTCAATGAGCTTTTGATTTCCATACTTCCTTAACAATTTATATAGTTTGTCCCAAATTGTTAGCATGTACAATATATGCTGATATTCAGAAAAGTCTGGGAAACGTTATCATGACTGGCTCTATAAAATCTACTTCCAAGTTTTTGCACTAGCTTTTGACATCTTGTCTGGGACAGGTGAGAAATTACCTTTGATGGGCCTTTAACCCTGGAAGAGAGCAATAAGAGAACTCACACCTGGGCCAGGCTTTAGGAATGCTAAGCCTGACATGCCACTCCTGACAGCAACAGTTAAAGTCATTACTGACTAGATTTTAACAGATATCTGTTCTTTACGGCTCTCAGACCATAGGTAACTCCCTAGGATTAGGCTATATCTCTCATGGATTACCTCAGAAGCCCCTAAATCCATTATCTCCCATTGATTATCTAGGGAACCCCCAAATTCAATATACCTAGTCTCAAAAAAAAAAACAGATCAGTCTATTAATTCATTTCTTATTTATGATTGAATACAAAGTTCTGAGAGGGATGAAGAGACTTAATAAGGGACAGATTCTGCTTCCCAGGAGTTTACCATATGATGGGAAGGAGAAGGTATTATAGCAGCACAATGTAAAAGATGCCAAGCATTATTAATGCAAGCCAGAACTAGTGTCACCTTGGCTCAAAGGAGGGAGAAAGTATTATCAACTGCAGGATTCAGGGAAAAAAAATTGGAAGAGGTAAGACTTAACTTAGCTGGAATTTTAAATATAGATAGTACATGGATATAAAGTTACGATGAATATTGGGCAGCGTGTGAAGCTGGGGAGTATTAGAACATTTGAAGAAAGCAAGCACATGGGTACTCCAGAATACCAAGACAAGCCTCTGTTTCCTTACAAGCTGTAAAATAAAGTGCAAAAACTGATAAAGTGGTAGAAGATATTTTGAAGCAAAAATATAATAAGAGTCTACATTAATATGATTCTGAACTACTGAAGTATACACAAGCTAACCAGCAAACATTAACCCCCAAAATGAAGTGATATTAGATAATCTGTTCAGCCTTTTTGTCACCTGCAACAAATTAGGCTTTCAATATGCAAAACATCTTCCTTCCAGAAAAACAAATGATCACGATTCCATTTAATTGTAACTTAATGAGGCATAATTTATTTTTTAAAGTGATATACACCAGGTGTGTACTGAGGAAACTGGCCCAGCCAAACCCTAGTACTTCCCTTTGGAAAAAGCCTCAAGCTAGCTAGAGACTGTTTTCCTTTCTGGAAATTTTGTTTCTGTTTGTGGCAGTTGAAATGAGAGGTAGAACTGGTAACTTGCAATGCTCATCTATTTACTAAAACATGTACCTTTTGAAGTAACTTGATCCAAAAAATATTCATTTATCATAGAAAGGATATAGTAGGAAAGTGTTAGGTTCCAATGTGAACAAAGATAAACATTCAAATGTCATGTAAATCTCAAAGACAGCTTAGATGTACTTCTGATTCCTATGCTAAAAGTAAAATCATACGCTGAGCACTTCTTTAGAAACATTTGGACTAGATAGAGAAAATAAGCCCTATCCCCTCATATTATATTTTAATTATTAATTCTGGGATGACACTCATCTTCAGAAATCAAGTTACATCTCTTTAAAGGTATATGATTCAGAACATGTTAGTGAAAATGTATTTTAGTTCATAATTACATATTGCTTTAAACAATTGGTGTCATAACCAATTAGTAAAGTTAAAACAAATCACATCCTCCCATTTTACAGATTAAAATTACAGAAGGCTAGAGGTGGAAGGAGCCTTGGCACTCATATGGGCCAACCATCCACCCTGCCCCCGGATAACCTATCACGTTTCCCTTGAAATGTCAAAAAAAAAAAGGTTCCTTCCAAATAAGGTCCCTTATTCCTCATGTTTCACCCCTTTTGTATGCTTGCTAGCCTTAATTTTCACATAATTCTAAAATATCTGTGTCCAGCTGACATGAAAGCAAAAAACTGGTAACCTCTTAAGAAAACTATGTGATATCAAACCTAGTCTAATCACACAAAATAAACTCTTAAATTTCAGTGGTCAATTCAGAGTTAGCCAAAGCGGTTAAATCAGCGACATGGCTGTAGAAAGTACTGGTATCCTACTACCTGAAAGCTGACCCAACAAAATCGTTTCTCTCCTAACCTCCAGTCTCTCATTTCCTTCTAGATACTCATGAGAGGCATTTCCCCCTCAGTTCACGAATATTAACAGGTTTCCCTGGGTTCTGTATTCATAATCTACAACCCCACTATGAATCTGGCTGCTGAAATTCATTTGTGTAATGCTAAAAATACTCACCCCATCCCCCACACCCCAGAGCATTGCTTAGCCACGAAGCCAGAGTACTTAGTCTGATTTGAATAAAAGGTATACAGGGCACAACAATGACAATTTGATTTTTATTATTAAAAATGATGTGTTAAATCCTCAAAGAAAATGTCGTTATTGCATTAGTTTAATAAAACCTCTCTTTTATTACAATATTTCTTTATTAGGAAAGACAGCCTATGCATGTGGCATTTTTGTCGGATGGGGTGGATAGAATTGAGCATCTAAAGGGAATTAATGTATTCTGCAAATATAAATGCATATACAAAAGTAACATTTGCAGACAAATGTTGTTACTATAGAGATATATTCTGCAAAGCACTAAAAGACTAGGTATACATGTGTATATGTATGTACAGTACACTGCAATTGGAAATACTTTCTCCCTCCTTTGAACCAAAACAGCAATAGTTCTACCTCACATTTATGAGACATCTTTTGCACTGTGCTACTATAAAACCTTCCTCCCATGATACAGTAAACTCCTTGGGGGCAGAATCTGCATATTTTGCACTTAGCGGCCAGTTGGTAATATATAGGAATGGTTCTAAGAAGGCAACAAATGCATATTTTTTAAATTTCTGGGAGTGGGAGTCCTATCTTTGCTGAACAGCGAACAGCAGGCTCTGGAGACTACATATTGAAAACATGACTCACATTATACTCAAGATCTTTTCATCCAGCCTGCTGAAAACAAGATAACTGAAACTGAAATTTTGGGTCATGCAAACTTCATTTTAGAGCAAATATTTCAGGCACCCTAAGTCTGTAATTTATTAAGTAAAACACTTGTCTCACAGATTTGTTTTTTGTGGATACAATAAAATTTCACTTGTGGCAACTTTCACATCAGAATACAGTACCCACATAACACAAAGTGAGTAGATACAACAGAGCATTCTTGAAGCCAAAACAGTCTGTGTTCCCTTAACTGCAATACCTTTGACCAAGCCACATTTGAGCATGTACAATAGAGGAAATTAGCCAAAATCAGATTCCTGGCAACTTTAATGTTTTTTGTTTGTTTGTTTGTTTTTGCATACTTAATCTACGTAATGATTATCCCTTCCTCCTTGGTGTCTCTAGGAAGTCTTAGGTACTGGAATAAGAGGCTATGCACAATCCAAGTCAAAATTTATAAAACACATTAGCACCAAAAAGTGAAAGCAAACAGAACTGAACAGGTTCCCTTTGGAAACGTTTTACTAGTAGTGTTCTTCAGCTCTGGGCACATACATGGTTTCTACTCACACCTCAAGTACCTGGCACTATGACTATTTCATTCACAAAGTTCTGGGCCCTTCTTATTCCTAGTTTCCATGAATGTTCCGTAAAACAACTGTTGGCAACCTGCCCCAAAAATTTACTAGCTTTGGCTACTTTGTCAAAACATTGGCAAAAATAGTACTTTCCTAAAACAAAACAAATACATTTATTGAATATTTATATCTCAAATGTATCAGATGCCTTCAGATATAAGCAAAGCAGTCTATTAACACTTGAGCTGACTTTTTCTGAAACAGTTACAAAATATTATTCTTTCCTGCTGAAATATTTCTGCATTAGTTTTAATCACCTTCAGGGTCAAAAGCATCTGTTCTCACATAGCACATGGGACACGTCACAGTCCTAATGATTTCACAAAAGGATTACTGGTTTGAAAGTCTGTTTACCCCTGTACCTCTTTGAAGAAGGGATTATGCCCTTCATCTTCCACTCTGTGGTAGCAGAAATGATTGAGAATAAAGTAGTTATGAGTATGAGTCATGAAGTCAGACTTGCTGGATTCGAAATTGGGCTCTAACTGGACAAGTATCAATTAATCTCCCTATGGCACAGTCTCCTCACCTGTAAAACTAAAATAATTCTGCTTCCCTTATAGGGTCCCCTAGAGAGCTTCTAACTGTATGTGATACATACTAAGAGTTTAATCAATGTTAGCCATTGTTAGGATGCCTAGTATAGTTTCTGAATACTTAATATTTGATGAATAAATACATAAACATCACAGTACAATTTTTATTTTACATCTACAACTTTAAATATTCAAGACACTCTAGTTATATTTTGCTAAACGTCTTCTCATAGAGAAGGCAGAAAATATAAGTAACTTACAGGAAATGGAATAATTAAAACTATTTGACATAGAGAAGGTATAAAGAAAAATGTAATAAATTATATGATGCAAAATGACCACATGAATATTCTAGGTAACACTAAATTAAAATATTCAATTTATACTTCAGAAAAGTAAAACAACTTTCTTTCTCTAAGTAACTTTGCTATCTTTAAAAATCAGCTTTAATCTGTATCACTGTTCAAACATGGGTCATAATTATTAGTGGATCATAATTAACATATCATAACTAACTTTCTATTATGAATTGGAATTAAAAAACCTTACAAAGTACCAAAGTGTTTAATACATGGTAATAGCATTGTTCCATGAAGGATTTTTTTCTTTCATGAAGCCTTTGCTTTAGAAACATACAGATAGGGAGAGGTAGAAATGAGATATAGCTAGAGACAGACATACAGATGTGTGTGCACATGCTCATCTGGGGGTGTGTACCAGCTCATGATGTAAAAAGTATTTCTTATAGGTATTGCAGTCAGAGAACTTTGGAAGTAAATTCTGCAGTCTATACTGACAATTTTAGACACAGAACTGTATACAGAATTGAAACAACCTAGTAATTTCAAATTGATAACAATTATATTTTTCTCTCAGCATTTCTGGCCTTTAAACTTCCTTCACTTTATTTGAGCAAATATGCAATTAACCCAAGGCCAAATGGTCATCATTTCAATAAATGACCATGAAAGGAAAACGCCTTGTATATATTTTTAAAATTGCTTTAATTGAGCAATGGTGAAAAATATATAAATAACAGAATTTAAAGCTAGTGCTTCCTTGTATTTTTTTAATAAAAATCATACTGTAAATATAACATCACTCAGAATTTCGGGAGACTAGTTAAATAATACAACAATGGACTTTCACATTAAAAGTGCAAGTTTCGGCCGGATGTGGTGGCTCACGCCTATAATCCCAGCACTTTAGGAGGCCGAGGCAGGCAGATCATTTGAGGTCAGGAGTTCAAGACCAGCCTGGCCAACATGAGGAAACCCTGTCTCTATTAAAAATACAAAAAAAAATTAGCCATGCATGGTGACACATGGCTGTAATCCCAGCTACTCGGGAGGCTGAGGTGGAAGGATCACTTGAACTCGGGAGGCAGAGGTTGCAGTGAGCCAAGATCATGCCACTGCACTCCAGCCTGGGCGACAGAGCAAGACTTTCATTTAAAAACAAACAAACAAGAAAAAAAAAAAAGTGCAGGTTTCTACTGAAATATACTCACTAGAGGTAAAAGTCCTCATTGAGGATAGAGACCTCTATCTGTGTAAAATGAGTCAATCATTCCCTGTTAGAGAATGGTGAAACAAGCTTATAAAACTTACCAAAAGTGAGTTTTCTTTAGTAAAAACAGAGAAGCCTGAATTTTCTATAATGAGTCTGGCAACTAATTTTTAAGAACTTTGCACATTGGTCAGGGATGAAAGGAAAAGATAGGCTGGGAGTGATGGCTCACGCCTGTAATCCCAGCACTTTGGGAAGCTGAGGTGGGTGACTGCCTGAGCTCAGGAATTCTAGACTAGCCTGGGCAACATGGTGAAACCCCATCTCTACTAAAATACAAAAAATTGGCCAGGCATGGCAGTGCATGCCTGTAGTCCCAGCTACTCGGGAGGCTGAGGTGGGAGAATCGCTTGAACCTAGGAGGCAGAGGTTGCAGTGAGCAGAGATGGCACCACTGAATTCTGGGCCTGGGTGACAGAGCAAGACTCTGTCTTAAAAAAAAAAAAAAAAAAAGAAAGAAAGAACAAGACAGACCAGTATGTCATCATGTTTGCTTCTTCTGATTCTCTTGCATGAGTTTTGTGAAAGGAGAAAAGAAAGGTCTTCTTTTACATACAAGTCTCTACTTCAGGTGGATTTAGAAGTGAGAGGAGAGTTGCATATGTTTGACAGCTGCTAAATTAGCCTTCTCTATAGGCAGAGCACAAACAAAGCCATCATCTCCCCAAGTCTCTTTAGATGAGCCCTCTGACCTATCAATCCACGTTTTGTGGCTGAGTGCCTGAAAAAGGTGCCAATTAACAACAGATAGTCTTATATGTGCAAGGGGAACTAAAGGGAACCTGCTATCTACAGGGCTACCCTCAAGCAATCTAATAACTTTGAGACACTGCTATCCTGGGAGATATTAATATTATTATAATCTGTAAATCTATGAATTCAAGCTAGTGATCCTGAAATGAAAGACTGTTTATTTTATGAAGCAACCAGGGCCATCTCTTCCTACTTTATTAATTTAATGTTCTGAAATCAAAAGAGGGTATATTATTTACTTCAAAACTCAATAACGGGTTCATGCTTGATCTGCGGCATTTCATATTTACAGCTCATCTTTCAGTGTGTGGACTTCCTTTTTTCACAGGTTTCCTTGTCATTTTATAACCAGCTCACTGGACCATGGAGTCAAGATCCCTGGATTTACATTGTGTTCTATTACTCTATGACTTGCTGGGTGCTTGTATCTCTATTGGATAGTGAGAAATAATGATGACTGAGACCAGACGTAGGCTGACAGAATTCTGAATACCTTAAAGGTCAAATTTTCTAGAAATATAAACTGTATGTATGATTAAATTGTGCCAACCTTTGGCTAACAATATGTATAACTCAAACAAAGGAGTTAAAAGAGAAGTTTCTACTCCAAAAAACTGACTGGTAACACACTGAAGCTCAGACTCCCAAATATTTTGGTTGCCAGGATTTTCATGTTATTGCTACATATCACTTCCTAACTGTGCCACTTCAAAATATAATGTTTAGTAAGTCCTGAGTCATTTTTAACCTTAATAATTTGGGGCATGAATATACTATAAACACTGTGTCAACAGAGCATAAAAGCAAAAGCCATGCCATTTCACATGAATGTTTATATTTTAGCAGTTGACCTTACTGTCAGCTTTCCTGATACATCGTTCAATCTAATTTTCCAATCCATTGAAAACATTCTCCAGTTGCTGAGTGACTTCATAAATTGTATTTATGATCCTTGTCTTAAGTTTCTTCAAATGATGTGGCTTTGATGAGTAAACTGCAGACTTTTTTGCAAAGTCTCATAAAAACTAAAAGTAGTCAAATGAGGACAGGTCAACAAAATGAGTTCCCAAAGGATTTTTAAAATCCTGTTCTCTATCACGTAAGACCAGGATGCACAGCTTTCCCAAGCAAGGCCTTTGATGTAAGGTTGCAAATTGTGTAACTCTACAACTTTTTCAATGAACTGAAGGAGCAAGATACCAAATTAGAGACTTACTGTTACAAAAGAATAGCACATTTTGCAAAACACATCTGTACTTGCAACTGAAAACATGTTTCCAAGAACCGGCTCAGAAGAACTAGCTGAGACACAAAATGAGCCTGAAACTTTCTTAATTATGGCATGATGTGCTAGAGGCAGAAAAAAACCCCATACAACATAAATAATGAGTATGGCAAATGTTTCATTTTCAAATGATACAGTCTTCTTATTGCTAATTCCTTGCATAAGGATGTTTCCTGAACTCTGCTACCAAGGTAAGGAGACAGTGGTATAGAGAAGATATGAGGATCGCACCTAATTTCCCTTTTTTGGCATTCTAATGCTCCCATTCACATGTGGCAGGGCATCCGTTCCACTGGATTTAGCCTAGTTTGGATCAAAGCTTCCTCTACTTCATTTAACAGATTTGCTCAGATGGAAGGTCTCAGAGGAGAAACAATGTTAGTAAAAGGGGGATTTCTGAACATACGAATATGTAGGTCATTGGATTTTCAAATAAATTAGAGAATAGTTTATCTATTAAGGAAGATTCGCTGTACATATTTTATGAAATCATGCTTATTATAGGTCAGTGGGCATTCTACAACCATCCCTCAGTAATATTAAGTCTTAAAATACTGTCATAAACCTTTCCATACTGGCATAAATCCCTGATTAATTTTTTAAAGTCCACAAAGTAACAAAGGGCAAAAGAATGCTTAAGGTTGGAATTCATAATCACACTGTCAAAAGGCAAAGATGTAAACAAATTAAATAGTCAAGCAACATATTTCATGTACATAGGCCTAGTAAGTCAAACTATGTCAGCACTAAAATAAATTCAGGATATAAGCAAGAACGAATATGGAAAAAAAAGGAAACCTGATACAGCTGCTTATTCCCACAGACACTATGTGCATCACTGCAGGAGCACAGGAGGAGTAGGGCCGAGAGGCAAAGCCACTCTCAAAGCCACAGAATCACATAATTCACCATTTGGACCCAGTAAGGACAGTTTTCATTTAAGTCAAGTTTGGTAAATCTCATAAGGCCTTACATCCAACGTCTGTTTCTGTCTCATTTTTATTCATTCTCTCTCTTTCCTCCACATTCAATATCCATAAGTCAGTCTGGACTATATCAATACTGACCCATTGAATTGCAGAGCTATAGGGGGCATAGGTTTTAAACAATAATACTGATAATATTTTCAAAAGAAAGGAGTAAAAAATTCTATACTAGTTCCATAACAACATATGGCTTTTGACTTGCAGAGAAAGTAGACATAAAACTATAGATAGGTTTTACTCAAACTACTACCCTATGGCATGACCAATTAGGCTGGAAATGGCGTGGACCTATAATCTGGGATAAAACGCAGATCCTCAGATAGAGACTACCACACCAGTGATTTATTAAGATGGACTTCCAAGGGAAACTGCTGAGGGAGTGTGAGAAGCAGGACAGGGAAGAGAAGAAATGCAAGCAAAGTCCCAGCTTCAGCCTGGTCCTGCAGAGCGCTCTGGAGTGGAAGTTATGCTTCAGAGCTGTCGCTACTACAGGAGGCTGGGAGCTGCCCTGTTGTCATCCTCCTGTACCCATCAGATGGTGGTAAGCATTTCCAACTCTGCCAGGATGAGCAGAGAAAATCAGTAGCCCAAACTGGAGAGATGTTAACGGAAAAGCCTAACAGCAGACGCAGGCTTTCAGAAGTAAAACCATGGGCCGGGGAGCGGGGAGGCGGGGGAGCATCAAAAACAGAGCTGGGATGTTATCTGCCTGAGGCTCCTCCAGTGTAAAATCATCCATCTCACTTTGTGGCCACAGGTTAAAGTGCTTAGAAATGTATCATGGGATTGCCTGAATATTAATGACCAGGTCAGAAAATGCCTTATCACTTTCACCTTACTGTTTTCACTGGGTCTCATTTGCCATAAAAGTCTTCAGAGACAGAAAGCAGGGCTAATCTCATCTTTCAAAAGACTAGCTAAAAAAAAAAAAAAAAGAGTGGTGATACTCAGAATGTATTTTACTTATTTTACATAAGGTCATAATGACCTAATGGCACAGACAGGACACAAGGCTCAGCCACACCCTGTGTCTAGAAACACGTTAGTCTCAGGCTCATGCTGGAGATCCCATATCCTGGCATTGCATGACCTCTAATGTGCTGTATCCCTACCCCAGAACAAGTGACTCAATTTTATGTTCCTAGTTTAGACCATGTATGTTTCTGTTAGCAAACCAAAAGAGAAATGTAAGGATAAAAATAAATAAATAATAAAATATTGGCAAAAGGCTGTCTATCTCTGACTCCAGCAGATGCCATGACCTTGTCATAAAGTGTGGATAGGGCATCATTTTATCAAACAAATACATTTTATATTCTTAAAAGACATATTTATTAAAATAAAAATAAACTAAAAAGAAGCTCTTGAAAATATGGCTCTATTCTCTTAACTGTGTTATTTTACATCATCAAATGATATGGTGACAATGAATCAGCCATAACAGGGTAATTAATAGTTTCTCTTTGGAGAACTGACATTTGAAATGTTATTTATTATGAATTTAAGTTTTTCATCTGGAAATCTTAAACATGAAAAACTGGGCAGGGTTTTCTTTTCTAACAGTTCCAGGTTTATTTGTAAATGTTTACATATTATTTTATTTTATACACACACACACACACACACACACATACACGATTTGTTCTTGGTATAACCATGAAGCACAAATCCAGGAACACAAAATATAAGGTGACAAAATGAACACACACGATTTGCTCTTGGTATAACCATGAAGCACAAATCCAGGAACACAAAATATAAGGTGACAAAATGTATTAAAATGCTTTTTATTGAATTTGATAATATATGAATAATAGAGATCATGAACTATTTCTGGAAAATATTCAATAGACTGAGGATATGCTACAATGTTTATTTTTGTTTATTATAGCTGGCAAGTCATTATATCATCCATAAACATCTGACTCCACTCAAAAAAGTCTAAACGTTTGGAAAATCTATGGTTGGTTTCATGGGGCATAATATACCATATTTTCCATTTAACAATGCTGCTGGTAAAACCAGCTGCCCAGTCCGGCTGTTAGTGACTACAGTACATACAGCAAAAAACAATCTGCCTGCTGACCTCCTGCTTAAGTTCAAACTATGTCATTCTGTCAGTACCATCTACCTTGATTAGGTTGGGCTTTATACACAACAGGTTATGATCCCAGAGGGATGAAAAGCTTTCCTAAATTAAAAGCAGAATTTTAAAAGGAAATACTCATACATTCCTACGCAGTTTCCATTTGATATCCTCAAGGCTGGCCCATGAACTCAAGCTCATGTTGATTGAAAGTGAATGTTTCTTTCTAGGTGTAGCCATCTTACAAATTTAATGGCAGGAGGAAAATAATAAAATGTGTTTCATGCTTCAATTAGACCTTTTATAACTTGGCACTTGAAAGATGGCAACGCCAAAGAAAAATCATTAATCCATAAAAATAGACAAAAAGGATTATATGGGAGAAGACAGACCTCCAGGAGTCTAGGTCCTTGGCAAAGTATACACTCTCGCCAATATGGTCTGTCTTTGTTTTGCCTCATTGTGAGTCTTCTCTCATGCTTCATGCTACTTGGATAAAATGTATACTGTATTTGCTTCTAAAATCCAAAGTAATACAACCATGCTTTCAATTTTATCCTTAGCCAAAGGAGCTGTATACATAACCAGGCAATAAAATGTTGGCTAGCCATGAAATGCCTATTCATGCACATGAAGGACAGATGAACGAACACACACACACAACACACACACACACACAGAGACAGAGAACTGCAAAATACAGAGCCAAAAGATAGATCCTTCCAATTTTTATTTTGCAGTAGTATGCAACAGACTTTCTCAAAAGGACCAGAGCCTTTCATAACCCCAGTCCAGACAACTATGGACACACAAATATTGCCCGAGTACTTTGAATCACGAGAGAAAGTGGAAGAGTGATGTCTGGAACATGTGAGAGTCTCTCAGGACCTCCAAACTCATTTTCAAGTGATGTTAACAGACTCTGTCAATATTAGAATGTATAAATTAGCTAAGAGTCAAGGGAACAAGAGATTTTTACCTCTCTTGGCCTCCTGCCATACCGAAAATGTCAGCACCAAACCTCAAACAGTCCCACTGTGTTTCTTCCTTGCTCCCAGTCCTGAAGTTCCAGCACCGCTGAAGACCGTTACCAAACCACAATGATTGGTATCATCACCAGTTCATGCTGTGAACTTCCCAAATCCTGTGATCTCAAATTGACCCCCTATCACTTCCAAACTGTCCACCCACTTTGGCCTCCCTTTCAACACCAAATTTTGGAAAGTGTCATGTACTTACTTCTGCATCCTCAACAGCTAATCACTCTTTAACTCCTGAATTCTGGCTCCTGTCCCCACTACTTTAATGAAATTATACTCTAAACTTCGCCAGTCTTCTCCCAACCAACTGCCAAATCTCATGACATGGTTTTAAGCCTCTCTCTCTTAACTTCTCAGCTTTCCACAAGTAGACAAGTCTTCTTCTGGAAACTCTCCACGCATGTCCTCTATACTCTCACTACTGTCTCCCTCTTCTTCCTTCTCCACCTGCCCCCATCTCCTGGCATTTCTTCTCTCTTTCCTGGGGCTGGTGCTGCTGCTGCTGGTGGTGGTGATAGCAGTGATTTCTCCCCTTCTCTCCCCTGACTCTTCCATTTCCTGTCCCAGGCTCTGTGACAACATCTCTAATCTCTTGCTCTAGTCCTGATAACTCTTCTTCCTAGCGCCAAACTCATATTTTCTTTTTCTTTTCTTTTTTTTTATTATTCTAGGGTACATGTGCACAACGTGCAGGTTTGTTACATATGTATACATGTGCCATGTTGGTGTGCTGCACTCATTAGCTCGTCATTTACATTAGGTATATCTCCTAATGCTATCCCTCCCCCCTCCCCCCACAAACTCATATTTTCAATGACTGTTGCACATTTTCACTTAAGAAGTTGGTCAACACTTCAACGTCAAAATAACCCAATCTAAAACTATCACTTTAACCTTACTCCAACCACTCTTTCCATGTCTTCCTGGATTCCCTTCATAATTACACCTTTATTCTCAGGCATCAGGCTTGAAGCCTGGTGTCAGTTCTATTCCTCTCTTTATCCATTTATACACTTTCTGTCCATTTTATTTCCAAAATATTTCTTCTCTGCACCCTCCCCAGCAGCCTAGTTCAAAACCTCTGTACATTTCACCTGGATACTTGCAGTAGCCTGCTAAATGATATTCCTACCCTCTTGCTATCAAACCTCCATAAGACCTAATTAAGATGGTGGGAGCACAGCATATTCCTACCTAAGACCTATGACGGTTTCCAGTGCCTGTTAAAGTTCAGAGCTCTTGTCTTGGCACTCAAGGCCTTTTTCAATCTGTGTCCATCCCTTTTAAGTTTTATTATCTACCTTTCTTATCAACTACCAACTATACTTGCAGTTTTTATACTTACAAATTGATAATAACTCTTTACAAGCAAAGAAAATATAAAAAATATCTTTACACCAAAAAGAGTAGTTTTTCCCATAAAAAGGTAGAATATATATAATAAGAGATAACAAAACTTGCCACGAGGCCAGTAAGAAAATCCCAACCATTAACAAAAACTTATTTTTCTTTTTTTCTTTTTCTTTTTTTTTTTTGAGACAGAGTCTCGCTCTGTTGCCAGGCTGGAGTGCAGTGGCGCAATCTCGGCTCACTGCACCCTCCACCTCCTGGGTTCAAGTGATTCTCCTACCTCAGCCTCCCAAGTAGCTGGGATTACAGGCACACGCCACCACGCCCAGCTAATTTTTGTATTTTTAGTGGAGACGAGGTTTCACCATGTTGGCCAGGATGGTCTCGATCTCTTGACCTCGTGATCTGCCACCCTCAGCCTCCCAAAGTGCAGGGATTATAGGCGTGAGCCACCGCACCCAGCACAAAAACTCATTTTTCAATGACTCATTAATCATACGACAATTTCAAAACTAATAAAAATTTAAATCGCCTACATAATAGAAATACATTTCAATTCAACCAGAGATCCAACACACTTTCGAATAAAGAGAGAAAAAATGTATTAACTGACTTAACAAAAACGCTATTTATTTAACTCACGCAGTATTGCTTAAAGAGTATCTACAAAATTCTTACCTCAATGTTTTCTTGCAAGAGACGTGGAAACCAAAAGTAAACAGACCCTCTTTAACAATGAACCACTGATAAACATAAAATATTTATAACTGGTATAACATTTCACTTAGGTGCATTTTTTGAGTGTTAACTTGCATCAGGCAATCCAATTTACCAACATTTATCAGATTTCTCCCCAGTGAGAGTTTTCACTTAACTTTTTTTTTTTTTTTTTTTTTTTTGAGATGGAGTTTCACTCTCACTCAGGCTGGAGTGCAGTGGCATGATCTCGGCTCACTGCAGCCTCCGCCTCCTGGGTTCAAGGGATTCTTCTGCCTCAGCCTCCTGAGTAGCTGAGACTACAGGCACGCATCACCACGCCCAGCTAATTTTTTTGTTTTGTTCTGTTTTAGTAGAGATGGTGTTTTACCATCTTGCCCAGGCTGGTCTTGAACTCCTGACCTCAAGTGATCCGCCCACCTTGGCCTCCCAAAGTGCTAGGACTACAGACATGAGCCACTGTGCCCAGCCCCTTAACTTCTGAAGTAATCATTAAATTTGGAAACATTCCTGTATTTTCCAAATTATTGAGGTTTCAATCCAGCATGCTTTCTTTCATTTGTAAGGTCCATCTACAGCGTGTGTTATCATGTGTCTCTGAACAGGTATCAGATAAATGAAAGCATTCCTACATTCTGTACGTTCACAGGGTTTTTCTCAGAAATCAGTTGTTTTATGTCTTCAAATTATTCCTGCATTTTTTAACTCAACATCTTTCCTATGAATGTCTTTACCTTAAAATAATAATCTTCTTCTTCATCATCTTTGCCTGCTGTACTTTATTAATCCTTCAAGGTCTAACCCATTGACAACCTAATACTCTAGAGTGTTGTTTACATATGTGCTTGCCCATTATCTTTTTCCTCTTTGCACCCACATAGAGCTTAGCTTCCTGCCTTGCATTTACGAGGGTGCTGAAATTTTAATCTACTGTTTTCTTGAAGGCTTACCATATTCATTCTCCTGGAAGTATTCCTCACCTCCAGCTCACCATGAACCTCCACCACAACTATTGCTTACACTCTCCAACATTACTCATAACACTTCACATTTTACTCTAATTATCTGGTTACCTGGTTTTCACCACTAGATCGTTAGCTCCCCGAGATTATGCACATCTGCTTTGTTCTTACTCATATAAGGGCTAGGTAAGTTTTTCTCAACATGCGGCCCCGGATCAGTACCATCATAATCACCTGGGATCTTGTTAGAAATGTCCATTTCTGAGTCCAACCTCAGACTTACTCAATCAGAAACTATGGGATGAGGCCCAGCAGTCTGTGTTTCACAGCCCTCCAGGTGATTCTGATGCACACTCCAGTTTAAGAACTACTAGCAGAAAAGAATGTCTTACATATAAGCACCCTCAATAAAAATAAGACGTGTGAATTAACTGTTTACATTTTCAACATTTAGTGTTATAATTGGCATATAATTCTCTCAAACATTAAAAATAAAAGTAAACTATCCATTATCATTTTATCAATATCTTAAATCTAACTTTTATGTTTTGAAGGATTTTTATAAATTTTTAAATAAAACTTTACTTATAAAATTATAAAACATAATTTTATTTCTTTTATAACGTTCAAAACCAAGGGAAAAAAATAGATTGTCTGGGCATGCATAGTTTTATAATTTGTTTTAAAAAATGGCAAGAGACTGATAATCACAAAATTCAAGATCAGGGTTACATCTGCAAACAGTAAATGGAGAGGATGAGAGAGTACATACCCAAGTCATTAGTAACATTTGGGGTCCTGAGTTGCATGTTGGGTTCAAAGATGTCCATTACCTCATCAAAATTAATCAATTAGTTAATTAATCATGGTCATGCATGGATCAATGGTAATAGCGTTTCATTAACTAAGGATTATTAATTAATCTAATTCTATGTCCTGAGATCCATAAAGCTTTTTAAAGAGATAAAAATAATTATAACCTATCTCAATTCTGTCCCCAGTATTACTGTTAATTACAGTGTTTAATGCTAATTGTACCTGTGTGCGGTTGAATGCCACTCTTGCAAAGACAGCTTGGGACACACTGGCCCTCTTCAGCTCATCTCTGACTTGCTGGTAGATATCTGGAGAGACTTCCACGGAAGAGTTGGTTGGCTCTGGCTTAACTGCTCTGGGGATGGGTGGATGGTTCAGGAACTGCTGGTTGATGGCTTGAGGATGCTGGTGAGCCAGGAGCCGGCTAACGGCAATCTGTTGGTTTATCAGATGGGCCATGGCTATTTGTTGCCTTACAAGTTGTGGACTAAGCTGGGGAGAAAGAAGACCAGGGCTCATGATGGGCTGTAATGCGGGCACTTGGTTTCGGATTGGAGTACTGTGGTGAATTTGGCTGTGAGGAGACTGTTCGTTGGTTTTCCCCAGGGATGCCAGCTGGTTCATATTTGGTAAATGCATTGGACGCTGGCCCAGAACACAATAGTCTGAAAGGTTTTCTCGTTCCACTCTTTCCACTGTTAAGAGATAAAAGTGATAATTAATCATTATTTTCATTGGTACAATTTATTGCTAATATATGTAGAACTGAATTATCATACTTTTGGCATGTTAATAATATAAACATTTTTTCATACAACGATGGAAGCTCCAGCATAAAAGTGATATTCTTTTCTGCTAAATGTTACAATAGATTTTTTTCATGGAACATATGAAAGAAAGTAAAATTATTTGCCACTTCAATTAGTTAAAATTCTTAAAAGTAAGCATTTCTTTAAATAGCCAAGACAGAAACCACTGACCATTCTAAATCCTCTTAGATCCCCCAAGCTCTATCATCTCCCCAATCAACCTTTGTTATAAAAGCACCAGCTGTTCCTATCTTCTGTAGTATGTAGTTAATGGTTATCAGGAAATGACAAGGATAACATCTCCTGCCAAATTAAGTGCTACCTTCTAGTAAAAAGCTCACATAAATATTATTATACAGCTATGGAAATGTTCATTTAAAAATGTCTGCCACATAGTATATCCATTTATTGACTCACTTGCTATCTTTTTTATAGAAATGTTTCTTTAAGAAATTGATATTTTAAACATTGTGCTATGCACTCAGATAAGAAAAAAAATCACAAAATTAATAACATCACCTCAACTTGCCATTAAATGAAGTTCTCCTCAGGTTATCTGCTTTATTACATTATATTGTGCTTTAATAAAGATTAAAAGAATAACTTTGAAAGGGAAAAGTAAGTATCATATATATACAAGCATAAGGCAAGTATTTTTCTTTCCCTAAAATAATGTCTTAGGAAAGACAGTCACCTCATAGCCAAATCCTTATCCAAGTCTCTGTATTACTCTATCATGAAAAACAAAGTTTGGTTTGGAGAAAAGAAATGGGGCTGAAGCAATCCCAACATTATTAGTTTTAAATGCTTATAGGTGTAATATAATCTAACAAGATCTCTTTTTCAAAGCAAAAAATCCATACAAATTTAGAAATTATTTCTTATAATTGCAAATGCTGGATATGACTATGCAAAAGTCCATTAAAGATAACTTTAAGAAGCTAGAGATCAAACATATTCACCTATAGAACACATATAAAAAGTAACTGTCTCCCTATTATACAAATGGAATGTGTGGTTTGCCATATAGTTAACCGTGACAGAATCATGGTTTTATAAAAAAAAAAAAAATACTGAGTCTCAAAAAATTTAGGCAGAAATGATGTGTGCTGGACAACTGGGTGAGATGACTGAAAACAGGGGAGTTGGTGATGACAGACACTGATGCCAAATCACATGTGAAGCACTGAATAAAGTCAATGAACTGTATGGGTGGAAAAAAGTAGTATTTCTAAATTAATACTTCATGTAATATGTGACTTTAAAAATGTATATGTGGAAATAAATTAATACATTAAAATGTGGGTAGATATTTAACTATTTTATATCCATGTCTACAAGTTTTATGCATGCAAAATATCCCATTAGGAAAACATGTGAACACCCGTCTTGGTATCACCTTATATTTAGACATGTACAGTGCTTTTTCCTGCTTTTTAAAGAAACTCAGTTAAGCTGGGCATGGTGGCTCACACCTGTAATCCCAGCACTTTGGGAGGCCGAGGCTGGTGGATCACCTGAGGTCAGGAGTTTGATACCAGCCTGGCCAACACAGCAAAACCCCGTCTCTACTTAAAATACAAAAATTAGCCAGGCATGGTGGCATGCGCCTGTAATCCCAGATATTCGGGACGCTGAATCAGGAGAATCGCTTGAACCCCAGGAGGCAGAGGCAAAGGTTGCAGTGAGTAGAAATCACACCACTGCACTCCAGCCTGAGTGACGAGCGAGACTCTGTCTCCAAAAAAAAAAAAAAAAAAAGAAAACCCGATTTCTTGCTTAACATTCCTATAAACTTCCAAATAAGTCAAGAGTTTACTTCCAACTTCTTTTAGGGCTCAATTTCTAACTTAATCCTTACAATGTTTGCTTGCTTTTTTTTTTTTTTTTTAAGACAGAGTTTCACTCTTGTTGCCCAGGCTATAGTGCAATGGCGCAATCTCAGCTCACTGCAGCCTCTGCCTCTCGGGTTCAAGTGATTCTCCTGTCTCAGCCTCCCAAGTAACTGGGATTACTGGCATGCACCACCATGCCCAGCTAATTTTTTGTATTTTCAGTAGAGACGGGGTTTCGCCATGTTGGCCAGGCTAGTCTCAAACTTCTGGCCTCATGTGATCCACCAGCCTCAGCCTCACCAGCCATTGCACCCAGCCTAATCCTTATAGTGTAATTCATTTGTTTTACGTATCACCTTTCCTTCATAAGGTTAAGAAAACAAATTATTTTACTCATCTTCTAAAGGCAAACCTTTTTCAATTATTGTATTAATTAAACTTTAAAGTACATAGTCTTAAAATCAAACCAAGCAAATGGTTAGGAGCCTTCAGATAACATAATCTAACAGTTTCCATAGAACAGGAATTAACATCATAATTTCCTCACTGAAAAAAAAGGTAAAGAGACCATGAACTGATTCCACAGTAAAATCTTATTTTATAGACAGAAATATTTGGTTTCAGTTAAATATTTGATTCACTTTTGCTTGTTTATTTGCTTTTAATTCAGTCAAAGTAAAGATAAATTCAGATATTAAATTATGTTTTCAGGTTCTTAATAAGGAAATATTTTATCTATTTCATTTTTTGGTGGGGGGAGGGGCTTGAGACCGAGTCTCACTCTGTTACCCAAGATGGAGTGAAGTGGTGTGATCTCCATTCACTGCAACCTCTGCCTCCCGGGTTCAAGCTATTCTCGTGCTCAGCCTTCCGAGTAACTGGGATTACAGGCATATGCCGCCACCACACCCAACTAATTTTTGTATTTTTAGTAGAGACGGGGTTTCACCCATCTTGGCCAGGCTGGTCTCAAACTCCTGACCTCAGGTGATCCACCTGCCCTGGCTTCCCAAAGTGCTGGGATTACAGGCGTGAGCCACTGTACCTGGCCATCTATTTCATTTTCTACTGAAAAAACATAGAACCATCCTCCTATAGAATGCATTATTTGACCAAACATTAATTTTCCAAAATTTTGGTATTTTCATTTTTCAACAATTTAATTACATTTGAGTGACTTTATTTTCTTGAGATATATCTAAATCATATAATTTAAAAATACCTCATTCATAGACCTAGTCAAAATCATGTACACAATTAAGCATAAACATCAAAGCTCCATGAAACCTATATGAATTGGTGCAGTAAGAGTCTGAATAATGTCAGTCCATATTCTTTAAGGTTATATATAATCATTCTTTCTATCCTTATGAGTTTCCAGGTGGATCCTTATAAATTCTTGTAGTTAAGAAGAGCAACTATGGAAGTATCTTGTAAAGACATAGCAACATATTACATCCGTAGTAACACCATGAAGTACTAACTACTCAGTAAACATTAATGAAGACATTGCAAACACAAATACCTACCTGTTCAGGTAGATAACAGCCAGAAAAGCCAGCTGCAGAAGAACTAGGTGGAGGAGGGAAAGTCTAACCAGTACAAAGGTAGCAACCACTACCTAACCTCAGCCAGTTTCTGTCTTTCTTATATTGTCATTTCTTTAGATTTTTTTTTGAAAAACAAAAAATCTGGATTTTACATGATATTCCTAATTTTTAAGTGTTAGCAACTAATGCCATTTCAAAATACAATAAAAGCCAAACAAAACATTTCTGAAAACCAGATCTGCCCATAGGCTACCAGTTTTAAAATTCTGCCTCTGAGACTAGTCACCCTTTATGTTTTTCAGCTCCTAACAGTTCTACCAGTAAAAGCCAAGTTCTTTACTACCAAGAATGAAAAAAGAAAAAAAATTATCATCCCGACTTTAAGAATGACTAAGGATCAAATGCTGTCAAAAGGATGCATCTACAATGACCAAGGCAGAACACGATTTCAGAAACCATTTACACACGTTTTTGTCTTTTTTTTTTTTTTTTTTTTTTTTGAGACAGAGCCTCACTCCATCACCCAGGCTGGAGTGCAGTGGCACAATCTCAGCTCACTGCAACCTCCACCTCCCAGGTTCAAGTGATTCTCATGCCTCAGCCTCCTGAGTAGCTGGGATTACAAGCATGTGCCACGGTGCCCAGCTAATTTTTATATTTTTAGTAGAAACGGGGTTTCACCACGTTGCCCAGGTTGGTCTCCAACTCCTGACATCAAGTGATCCACCCGCCTCGGCCTCCCAAATTGCTAGGATTACAGGCATGAGCCACCATGCCTGGCTGATTTTACCTAAATTGAAAACATTTTAATTTAGTTCTTGCTGCCACTCTCATAAAAATAATATCAGAATAACGTTTTTAGCCTCTTAAGTCACAGCAAGTGAAGCACAGATGCTTAAAAAAGAGAGGGAGTATCAGGATGTGCCAGACTGTATCAGAAAATTGAGCCTGAGCGTTCTTTCTTTTTCTCTTTCTTTCTTTCCTCTCTCCCTTCCTTCCTGCTTTCCTGCTTTTCTCTTTCTCTTCTTCCCTTTACTCCCTCCTTCCCTTCTCTCCCTTCCTTTCCCTTCTTTCTTTTAAAATAATTTGAAAGTAATCACAATGTCTGAAACACAGACCTAACAGCAGTGCCTGGTTTTGTGTTCTTGCTTTTTTCACTGTGTAATGGAAAACATCATGTTAAGTCTGTCTTAAACTAAACCAAGACCAAAGACATCACCTTGGCCCTAAGGGCCATCTTATCCCTGCAGTATTTAGCAGAAGATCAGAAATCCTGGAAAAAATGAAGGGTAAAAGGTAGTGCTGTCTCTGACGGTGAAAGCAATGTTCACATTCACAACAGAAAATATTCTGATAAAGGCAACACGCTTACTTATTAAAGAGACAGTAAAAACACAACTGCTGGCCCGGCATGTTGGCTCATGCCTGCAATCCCAGCACTTTGGAAGGCCAAGGAGGGCGGATCACTTGAGATCAGGAGTTCGAGACCAGCCTGACCAACATGATGAAACCTGGTCTCTACTAAAATACAAAATTAGCCAGGTGTGGTGGCTCATGCCTGTAATCCCAACTACTTAGGAGGCTGAGGCAGGAGAATCACTTGAATCCAGGAGGCAGAGGTTGCAGTGAGTCGAGATTGTGCCACTGCACTCCAGCCTGGGTGACAGAGTGAGATTCTGTCTCAAAAATAAATAAATAAATAAATAACTCACAACTGCTCCCAGGGCTTTAAATCAGAGCTGCAATTTAATTCACAGTGAACTTGATTCTACTGTGGCTGAAGCCTTGAGGGTGAGCACTGGAGAGGGAATTGCCTGGAAAGGAATGATGTCCCCAGTTTCTAATGTAAGTCCCCAAACAGAACATGGTTTAAGAAACCGTCAAGGCAAGGGAGGCTCAAATGCTTCTACGTCCAGTAGCTGTGAGACTTTTGGTAGCTATTCCAACATCTGGGGAAAGGTACCAGTCCAGGGACCTTCCAGATAAACAGTTCAGATATGGAGTCTGTTCAGGTCTCTGAGAAACCCAGAGTTCTAAGAGGATCTTGCAGATTCCTTCAAGTTTCCTGGGACTGAGTGAAAACTGCAGGGAATGGGCAGCCATTTTCCAACCACCCTCTAAACTTCTGGGATTCCATTTAACTCTAAAGTAGGTAGGGCCTTTGTAGCCCTATATTAGAATTTCAGTAACTCCTAAAACCTCACCAAGTTCACAGCGACAATGCTCTAACCAAGAGCACTCTATGACCATTAGCTATTCAGATGCTCACAATTGCTGCCTGTGGCTGGTTATTCATAGATGAGAAACTTATATTCCTCCCTCAGGAATTTACCTGCATTACAATTAAAAGGTATTTGGTCCAAAAATCTTATTTAAGACACTTGTTACGGTACATCCAGGAAGCCAGGTATTTATTTTAAATAACATAAATCCCTGATATATATTTATATATTTTAGGTTGTTACAAGAACATTTTCAAAACTCAAAAAATAAAATAATACACACACACACACATATACACACTATATATGTATATATATATAGTGTGTATATATGTGTATATATACAAGGATGTGTGTATATATGTGTATATATACAAGGATGTGTGTATATATGTGTATATATACAAGGATGTATGTATATACATATGTATGTGTGTGTGTGTGTGTGTGTATCTATATATATATATATATATATATATATAGTCTTTCACTCCTATATTCTGGCACTTAATTTTTATTATTTCTTTTGCAATTATGTAAAGTAAATATAATAAAATCTCAATGCTCAAAATATAATCCAATGACTTAGTGCCCCAAAGTATAGTTTCTGAAGGTTTTTGAGCAAAAGGTGAAGCACCTGATTGGCACAGATGCCTGCCAATAATAGCAAGGTGGCATAGGAAAGGTAGAAAGAAAAGCAAACTGAAATTTCAAAGGCCTGGGTTATAACTAGATGAGTGATCTGAGGATTATCTGTAAAATGGGAAGAATTACCTGTAAAGTGGTCTTAAAGTAACCTTCCAGGTTACTTATCTAAGAGCATCTTTAAAAGTACCGTTTTAAAACAATTATCTTTCTCAGAATACTTGCTTCTGCTCTTTACTCTTTAGCAGGAATTTAAGACTTTCCTTAGATATCTCTATTAAACTCACCATTACAAGAAAAATAGTTGTTTATATAGTGGCAATAGCAATATTAATTACAGTATTGCTCTTGCAAGTTTATCAATACTGCAAAAAAGATAGATAATATTTCTAAAGCTATTATTGTAGTATTTTCACGCTGTAAACCTTAACACAGTTGCTTTTGTGAAACAGCCCCTTGGGTTTGTCCATAGTTATAATGGGTAGAAAGCAATGAATTGGGTAAAAGGTTTTGCACTGAGAAATTTCCAGAATCTCTGGCCTATGGATTTTTCTTTAAGCCATTAAGATGCTTATGCAAATGTAAATGGATTAGCATGAATGAGTGCTAATGGATTCCTTAATAAGATAACACTCTAGTATTCCCCAGAACCTCTCCTAGAAACCCTGGGTAGAAGAACATAAGCCAAAAAAAAAAAAAAAAAAAAAAGAAAGAAAGAAAAGACGACGGCAGAATTTCTCTACGATTCTTTCAACCTTAGAAAGTACTCTGGAAGTGATTCTACAAATGTAAAAAAGGACACTGGCTTGCTTTTGGCACTCTTAGTAAAAATGTTGCCAATCAAACCAACAATTTCAAATTGGTACCCAAACATTAGAGCACAGAAAAAAGATACTCGAGCATATGAATGCCTTAAATTTACAAACCTCCTCTCCAGGTTCTCTGCTTCCCCACCTTATGCTCTAAAACCTTGAAGCCCAGTTTTTAAAGACAACGATCTTGTCTAATACCAGAGAAATTTAAAAAATGTGCTCTAGGTCGAATAACTGTCCAAATGCAGATAAATATTTAGGAATATTCAAAATGATTAAGGCTGCTGGCTCTCGCCTCGTAATAAGAAACACAAACCACATGGCTACTTTTTCCTCTTTTTGTGAATAACTCAAAGTCAAGTTCTAAAGCCTAAATGTTTCACAAGTGCTTTTTAATGGATTTTCTTTAGAAAAAATATATTTATTATAAGAATTTTCATATTTTTACTACTAACATACCTTTTTCAAACTGTATTGGCATTTCAGGTAACACCAAGCCCCACCATTTATATAGTAGCTGAAGCACTGAGCTAAATCCCTGACACATCATTATCGTTTAACTCTCACAACAATTCTATGACATTGATATTAAGATGCCTACTTTATTAAAGAAGCTGAAGCTCAGTTGGCTTCTTTAATGTCATTATTTGACTTTAATGTCATAATTGTTTGATGTTACAAACCTGTTAATGGAAGATTCTGAATTCAAACCTATGCCTTTAGGACCCTGCAGTCTGTATTCCGCTGCTTAAGATGAACTGCCCAGTTTGGGGCATGTGGTTATTAATAGCTTTAGGATTTGGGTCAGGAGCAATCAACTTTCTTACCGATAAGTTTCACTTTGTATTTGCATGTTTGTGTGCACAAGTGCACGTGGCACACGTATGTGACAGGAAGGATGGATAAGTCATCTGAATGGTAAAAGCTCAACCTCAGCCTTCACTGTATGCTTTGTGTAACATACACTGAAAAGACTGTCAATTCAAAAAGTGATGAAATCATTGATTCCTCAACAGTTGAATCAGCTAGTCACTTAAATAGAATTATTTACATTAAAATTCATATAATAAACATTTATTAATCAACTATCATGTGCCAGGAATAATGGCAGCCCCTAGAGATACAGTACTGAATAATCTTAACTTTAAAAAACTCCATCAATATATTTGCTTCAGACACTTTAACTGTCTGCCACATGTAGATGGGTCCATAACATCTGCCTATGATTTAAAGTGCATTTCTATTTGATGATAAAAGATAGCTCCTTTAAATTCCTATTTTGTCAGTTTATTAGCAATTCATTCCAGTCATCTGTAAGATATATATATGTGCCTATATAATCAGTATATAAATATAGTGATTATATTTATTTTTATAAATCCCCTCCCATTATCTTATTTTTCTTGAGGCCAAAGCTTTTGTCCCAAAATGAGTGTCATCAGCATGGACTCCCACCTGACTGATGAAAGATATGAATCACACAGCAGAGAGCTTTCTCAGGTACCCTATAAATTCTATAAATAGAAATTATTTCTTTGAAACAAGTAACCAACAAGAAATGAAACTGGGTATGCACACTCACATAATATAACAGCTTGAGAATCTTGGGCAATCACAAATTCACATATAATTGAACTATATGAAATTGGCGATACGTAACAATTTTGACCTACAAAAATGGCAATTCCATATGCTTCCACCTGATACTTATTTTGTCTCCTTTCACTCAGCTGGGCTACACATTAATGGTCAACAACCCCACTGTCCACCCAAACTCTTTCATTGGGTTAAAATCTTTTTAAAAGGTAAACATAATGCTAATTTCCCCCAACAAACCAGAATAGCATCCCGTCTGCCAACACTGAATATGCCTAGTCACTGAAAATACTTCTGGTTTATTCTCTCCTAGTCAATAACTGGAGGTATAAGGTCAATTTATTATACAAAAAAAAATTCTGTTAATACAAACACAGATGGACATGATTGCAGTAGCCAAAGCTAATAGATCTCTCAGATATAAATCCCATACCATTAAAACGAACAAATAAAACTACCAGATGAGTTCACCAAATATAATTTAAAAAAATTATTGAGCTTGAAAGAGCTGAAGAGTAAAAGAAAGAAAAAAGAAAAAACAAAAAACTTGCCACCAAACCCAAAGATTTTGTTTTTCTCTAAATTTGTTCAAGAGAATTTGTCTCTGGGTTGAGAACTTGCTTGCAAAGTCCCTGCCTAGAGCAAGATATTCAGAGCCAACTTGTTAACTCCTAATAAAACAGCCCATAAGCAAAGCCTACCAGCCAGCATTGTGATAATACCATATGACTGGTTTTCTTAGGTGTATTTTCCCCTTATTATCAACTTCCTTTTTCCATCATATTAACCTCCACAGAAACATATATCCACCATAAAGTAACTCAAATGTGGACACCTCTGTTTCTTTGCTAATAAAAGCTCCTAGGACCCATTATGTTCCATGGAAAAAGTGAGCATTATCTACCTTTCTTAGTCTCCACCCTCTGTACCAGAACACTATTGTCCCTTTTGGTTTCAAACAATGCTTTATCACAGTTTGATATCATTGATCATTTCAAGTATTCCTATAACATTCTACATAGGTTAAAACTGCTTATATCTAATAATATCTTCATTTTTATTCTTTATTTTAATCTAAAACTATAATTTCTAAGGTGAATTCAGCACATGATAGTAAAAAAAGATCATATTGTTGAAACTTAACATTACTGCTTAGGAAAATTCTGCCTTTGTCAGTTGGCATTCCATGTGTATTAATTCTTTAATTCAACCTACCTGAAGAAAAGTTAATCAAAGAAAACAATCAATTCATGATTCATTCTTTTCCTCTGACCAGTCTCTGTGATTTTATAGGACTTTGATGTTTTAGGCCATTATATTGAGGAAAATACTCAATAAACTAGCTGTGAAAACCTCAAAGGCATGTTTATCTTAGGCTACACAAATGTTCTCTAATTCGTACTTTATAAAGGTATTACTGTCCTATTCAACTGAATTGACTACTGTTAAGTCTTTAGCTCAATAACTAGTAGAAACATAGAATGATTCTAACCAATCACATTTGCTAAGGACATTTGCAACATGAACTAAACAAGCAAAGATTTTTCTTTCTTTTTTTTCTCTCAATTGACAGATCAGGTAGCAAATAAGATCAGTGCACCATATAATATGTGTAAAAATAAAACTGTTCTAAATGCATATATTCAAATAAGTTCATCTATATTACATTCAATTATATTAATATTTACTAAGTATTCACTGTGTTTAAGGCCTCATGCTCACAGGACTCTGGGGAGGACAGAAAATGGATATGTTCCTGTGTTCCCAAAACCTCTACCTCTGAAGTTCTTTCAAGCAGCTTTTGGCCCAGAAGGGGGATTAGTCAAAAATCAAAATTTCTATGGTACATAAAACTTAGAAAGGTGATACCCTGAAAGGCCCAATGTTAGAACTCATAGTCTGATTTGTACTCTAGATGATTATAGATTCATGTCTATTCCCTTGGGAGTTCAGAACTCCAAGGGTCAAATAATCTCAAATTCTCACAAATGGTGGAATGAAGGCCATTCATCAGTCAGGCAAATAGTTAAATAACTGTCTCCCATTAGGCAATGTGATTTCAGTCCTAGTATCTTACATAGCATTTATAGTTAAAGTGCTTCAAGCACCTTATGAGCTTAAGTGCTTTTCAGCTTTGAACCTTGTAATCGTCTAAGGAAAATTAGGTAATAATCTTTATTTAATTGATCAAGAAACCAAAAGAGTTCTCTGATTTTCACCTGCTGGTCTCCCCAGTAGAAGAGGATGTCCCCACAATCATCAGATTTTAAATAAGCTGGGCATTTCATGGTCTACACACAAAGCCTCTCATTTCACACTTCTGTAGATTCTTTGTCAGCCCCCATCACATCTATGTTTTTGAGTTTTTTTATTCTGTTTCTGGGCAGGACAAATGGAAATCTGAAACTAGGAGCAATCTAAAGCACACTCCCTCCTTGTTCCCCAGACATGGTCTGTCCAGATCCTATTTCAGGTGTTCTCACCACCAAGCCCCCATGCCAATCATTCTCTCCTTCACTGCTAGGAGGTCATGCCAGCCCAGCCTCACACTTCATGGCATGAGCTGCCCATCCTCACCGTCCACTCCATCTCTAGAACCTTCCCTCCTTACACATCTCCTTGCCCTTCTCCCAGATTCTGAAGAAAACATCACTATTACTCTTTCTTTCAAAGGCACTGCATTATCTGAGCCTCAAATCCATTCCCTCCTAGTTGGTGGGCTCTTGCTTATCACTCCTCTTCCTCTTCAAAACTGCTGGCTCCATCCTCTTTCTGATAATTACACTTAGCCCTCATGCTTCAGTTAGCCACGTTTAGACTCTTTCCTCTCATGTCCTTGCCACCCCTCCCTCAGTAGATGCATAGGCTTCCCTGTTCTCACACTTCAGAGAGACAGCTCCCTCCAATGTCATTATGGTATCCTTTCTGCCAAAGCCAAGAGCCTCCAATTCCCTCTCCTCTCCCCTGCCCCTCCACTGCACCCTTGATAACACTTCCCCCTGGTAACTCATCTTCCCTTGGCTTCAGTGACACCTCACTCTCTCTAGCTGCATCTTCTTAACTCCTGGCCCTTTTCCTCTCAAAGCTTCCAGCCCTCTCCCGCTCTTGCTCTCCTCTTTAAGGAATGTTCATTTGGTACCATTTCAATTGTCATCCAAAAAAGTGCTCAAAAATTTATTCTCCATCCTGTCCTTTAGTCGGCTGGTTTCACATGTCAAACAGCCTAATGGACATTTCTACCTAGTTGTCAAAATTCTCACTGAGGTATCAGCAATTTCGTCTCCATTGGTATTGTCTTATTTCTGTCACAACCATCAAGAGTCACTTAAGCTCAAAACCTGGATTCTGCTTGCATGTCTCTTTCTCATTCTCATACCCCTACTTACTCTCACCAAGTCTCATGGCTCTCCTCTGCTTGAACCTCTTGCATTGGTGGCTTCCTGTCTTTCTCACTTGTGCCACTCAAAGCCAGGGCCTCACTTCCCTCACCATTCCATTTCCGTCAATTACTGCAATAGGTTCGACTTTGCCTACTTCCACCAGGTGTACACACCAGCCTTCCCCCTCCCACCCACCTCCCTTCCTGCCATACACCCACTCACACCCTCATACAGCTTCAGATGGTGTCTAGGGGAATCATTCGTAAAACCTCATTTTCAATATGTCACTCTCTTGCTGAAAAACCTTCAAGGATTCTCAAAATACGTCAACTGGGCTTTCAAAGACCCCTAAGGTGTGTTCTCTACCTTCTCAGCCTTATTTTTCATTGTTACAACAAATATGATCGCCCAGCCAGGTCCCAACCATTTCTTTTTTTTTTTTTTTATGTGAGACAGAGTCACTCTGTCACTCAAGACTGGAGTGCAGTGGCGCAATCTCAGCTCACTTCGACCTCCACTTCCTGGGTTCAAGCGATTCTCCTGCCTCAGCCTCCCAAGTAGCTGGGATTACAGCTAACTTTTTGTGTTTTTAGTAAAGATGGGGTTTCATCATGTTAGCCAGGATGCTCTCAACCTCCTGACCTTGTGATCCACCCGCCTCGGCCTCCCAAAGTGCTAGGATTACAGGCGTGAGCCACCGCGCCCAGCCAGGTCCCAACCATTTCTATCAACATTTGGTGTCACTACCCTCCCTATATCCAGCTAGTTCTACCTTTGCCTTTTCACTGATCAAAAGCTTAGCCATTCTGAGCACCTGTTATATTATAGTATCAGGATAAATGTACTGCCATTCTAGACATTCTGGATAGCCACTTGTAATTTTCTAAACATGCAATGCTCTTTCGTACCTCTGCATCTGTACTGATGATCATGCGGTTGCCCAAAACATTCCTCCTTCTCTTTTCCTCCTTGCTGCAGTAACTCCACTTGTCCTTAAGGTATAATTCATGCGCTGTCTCTCCCTAACCGCCCACCCCCCACCCCACGTCAAATCTAGCAAGAAGAGTTTCCGGACTTTCCTCTATGCCACCATTACACTAGTTTATATCACTACTATATATTTACCAGATCCATTTATACAGCTGCTTCCCCTGCCAGGTTAAGGACAACACAACCAGAGGTAGGAAGTATATCTTACGTGTGTATGGACATTTCTCACTGCTTCTAGCATTAATTATGGCCTGTAGCAGAAGTGCTCACTAAACATTTAGTTAAAATTATTTACTTAATTATGACTACAATTATCTTGTGAGGAAGAAAAAGGTAATGCTCTCCACTGTATTCCCAGCCCTTAGAATCCTGCCAGGTATTATATATAAAATAGAAGCTAGAATTTGTTTTTGAATGACAAGATATGTGTTATATTATAAAGTAAGCATTTCATACAGATTGTAGGCTTTTGGAAAGCAGGAACTATGTCTTATGCTTCTTCCAAAGAGTAGGTATACATGAGGCTGGATGGATGAATAGATGCAAGAGAAGCAGGGAGGGGCGTAAGGAAATAGATCATTTTTCCCTTTGCATCCTTTCTTAATGTCTATTTAAAATAACATCAGAAATAGTACAAATATGAGTAGATTGCAAGCTCATTTCTTTTAATCTACAAACTATATTATTAACAAACATTTTTATATCTTTAAACATTTATGAATAAGTATATTCAGCCCAACAAAGCAGTTACAGTACAGCTGGAATGAGCTTCTTAAGATCCATGCAAGGAATTAGTCCATGTCTAAGCTGAGTGCTCAAGACATTCCCCACGCACCATTTTTCCACTTAAACTACCAATAAGCTTTCCATTGGAGGGCCAAGCAAGCATAGGTGATCTATGCATACTATCAGTGACTATCACAATGAAAACACACAAGGCTCTCCTATATGTTGAAAAACTGGTGAGATAAAAGGTGGCTGACAGTAGAAATGATGTTTCTATTTCTATGAATCCGATATTTGTGACGACATGAGTAGAACTGGAGAACGTTGTGCTAAGTGAAACAAGTCAAACACAGAAAGACAAATGCTGCACGTTCTCACTTATATGTGGAATTTAAAACAATTGAATTCATAGAAGTAGAGAGTAGAATGGTGTTTAACAGAGGCTGGGAGGTGGGAGCAGTGAGATGATAATCAAAGGGTACAAAGTCTCAGTGAGGCGAAACAAGTGGTTTTTTTTGAGATCTATTGTACAGCATGGTGAATATAGCTAATAATTGAGTACTGTGCATTTTAATATCACAGAGTAAGTCTCAGATGTTCTCATCACAAAAAATGTCAAATATTTGAGGTGATGAATAGGTTAATTCACTTGATTTAATCATTTCACGTTGTATTAAAAACCATACCATCACTTTGTACCCTGTAAACAGCTATAATTTGTCAGTATAAAATACGTAAGTAAATATGTATACAATATTCAAAGGATTTTATCCTGCCATTACTTTCAACAAGATACAACATAGGCAGAGGGCAGACAAACTTACAACATAGGCAGAAGGCAGACAAACTTCCTTACAGAACACTTCATTTAGATCTGAAGCTGAAAGCAAATTTCTCTCATGACAGAAAAATTAGGTAGACAAAAGTAAGTTACTTTTACCTCATCAGAGTTAAACAACAGCAGAGGCAGAAGGACCAGGAGTTGATTAAAGGCATTGTCCTGACCACTGATACCACCATGGCTAAGCAAGGGCTGCCTTATGGAACCAGGTCAGGGGACATTGATTTCTCTATTCAACTCCAAGGCACCACTTTGTAAATGACACAATCATTTTTGAGTACAAGAGGTGCTTTAAATGTGGTAACATTGTATCATTTCAGCTATAATGATCATAATTACTTATTTCTTTTAATCACAACCCACTTAACCACTTTAGTACAGAGGACTAGTTCAAGGAGTTTAATTTTCATTCAACATCTAATCTTTGTGTTTACCGAAACCCTTCATGGGCTTTGTTTACTGTCTGCCTGCTGGCCTGGACGTTTGATCTTGCAAGACTAGATCAGACAGGGTCAGATAAAATACTGATTAGTAGAATAAACCAGGCTTGGGGAAGTAACACTGGTTTTTAAAATCCTCTTTTCTCCCAGCTTTTTAATATCTGGCAAAAGAAGTTCAAATAAACAAATAAAATTAAGACAACTAACAATCAGACGGTTCTTGGGCAATGACTGAGAAAAGAAAAGTGATGGGGATAATTTTGCACTCTGGCCAAAATACAGGGTTTGGTTAGGTCCACTCATTCTAATGGTATTATTTTATAACACAAATAATTTTATAATAACCACCTGTATTTGTGTAAACTTTCAATGACCCTTCAATTCTTGAGGCATATTAAATAATTGGGATTGACCTCACCAAAGATGACTGCTTATTTTGCTTTTGGTACCAGATGACAAACACTTTAGATATAAAATTATTTTCTTGTAACTTATTAATTAGGACACATTTAAAATATATAAAAGATTCTTTATTAAGGCGTTTTCTTATTTTTATTATATCCCCCCAAAAGTAGATTGCCATGAGAGTAAAACTGATAGTGCTACTACATATATGATTGCCACTTCATTTCATAAAAATGATGGGGAAAGTTCACATCAAGAGTTCAGACAAAAAAAGTTGTGTAAAAAATTAAAATTTTACTAAAATGTGTAGAACTTAGGAAAAAACTACTTGGGTAAATCCCTCATAATCCCAAGACCTTAAAAATAATTTTGGAATAGCATGAATGTTTCTAGGTGTCTATGGAATCTCATGTACAATACTAAAACTCCTAACATTAAACAACTATTAATATTGGTCTTTTTTCTTTGCTTTTAGATAAAATGTACTTTTTTTTTTCTTATACTTCGGAGCTTATGAGCTCTACATTGTAAAATCTGGTCCAGAAGCAATTATGGTATGTGATGATCAGCAATTAAAAAAAAAATGCTGTCTAAACCAACCTACCACCCTACCCTACCTACCCACTCCATTTTCTTCAATGTCAAATATTCCTGGGAAACAGATTCATGGTCTTAGACCTTGAAACCAGAGTATACACACTGTCTCCCTATCTATTCTGAAGTAATGCTCATGTTAACTCAAATATGTCTGTGTCAACCATGATTGTCTTTGAAATTAAAGAAAAAAGGTAAACAGAATGTGCTTTGCTGTGATCACTGGGGAAAATAAAGTTAACATGCTAAGCCAAACCAATTTAGGACTTTCTAAAGAATAAGTGTAAATAGTTTAGCTGAAATAACAACAAATTCAAAAAATGCACATTAAAATGTTTACTTCAAAATTTAGACAATTCCATTTGTATGTAGTTTTTACATCTGTTTTTAATGATATCAAATTATTGATTGTTCATTTTTCTCATATTTATTTCAGCATTGACTATAGAATTTGCAATCTGATCTTTTTTTTGTCCTTCCAGTAGACTTTTATTTTTGCCAGGTTTTAGTCATATTTACTTTGATCTTTCAGAGTATATCATTATTTTACCGTTTATTTATTTCTATGAGAAGAGAAAAAAATTTTGACCTAGGAGATCTATATGTGGCAATTTGTAACAGAATCACATAGCTTATGTTTAGGAAATCATGTTTTTGATTAAGAAGCAACCACTTAGTTCCCACTGTTTTATTAAAACAGACATTAGCAGATAATAGGAAACATATTTAACAATGTAGCCTGCATTTAGTTTGGGACCTCAGTAAGTTGACTTAAGATTTTCTTCTAAGCTGAATAGTGCATAGAAGTGCATGTAAATTGGTAACTTTGAGGCAGAAATGGAAGGTAGGGAGGCTGAGAGGGACATGGAACTCTGACTTCTGGGGTCTCAGAAAAAGCCCTATGGTAGAATTCTGGTTTCACTACTACTGGTTTCCAAATTTGGAATTCATTGCCTTTTTTTCATTTTGAAAGCAGGGACACAACTCTTACAAATCAAATCATTACTTTCCCATGAGAAATGAGTCCTACTAGGTAGAAACTCCCACAGCAACATCTATTCATAGAAAAAGGCTTCTACCAAATAAAATATGCCTGCTTCAGTCCAACACTTCCCTTTTTCTGAGGGTCGAAAGTTAATAAAACGCACTTCTCTGGGTGTTTATTTTCTGTACACCATTATACCTGTCATGAATTCTTTGTTTTTCCTCCCACTCCCTTGGTTGATGAATCAACACCACTTGAACTGTTTTATGGCAGCTTGTGTTTACTTCACACATACCTTAACCTTCCCTTTTCTCCTCCTACTGACACACACACAGACACACACACACTTTTCAACAGCAATGACTAGCTCCATCTCTTTGAATAGTATGTGTACACAGTGTCTGACAGCCTCTTCAGGTGTGGATCCTTGACCAACTGAATGAAATCAAGGTCTCAGTCTGCTTTTACAGCACTTAAAGATTTAATTGTGCATTTACTATCTTTAAAAAAAAAAAAAAAAGATACAGCTTGAAGAATTAAAGCTCCAGGAAAGAAAAAAGAAAAGTAGAAGATATGAGTGTTAATGTGCGAATGCACACACACACACACACACAAACACACACACACATTCTGTAGTGGCAATTCTGAAAACACTAGAGTGAAGAGTTTCCAATCTTTCTGAATCTGGAATTACACTCCAGCCTATTAAAAGAGGACACTCTCTTACTTTCTCTTATAACAGCAAGTAAATGGGATCTAACAAATGACCTTGAAGCTGCATGATTCTTTTGATTTTCAGCCGAAGAGGATATGTCAAAGTACTTTAACAATCCTATTTTAAAAGAAAAACCTGGAGGCAACACTTACAGAAAAGAAACCTTCTGAGCCACACATCGATGTCTTATAATGAGAAGGGGTTATTCATCTTATATTGCACAAGGGTGAATATTAATATGCGAAAGCATTTGCCCAAACCAGGATCTAACGGGTCCTAAGAATTTTAGAGTCTGTTGAAAAGAAATGGATCTTAATTCAATTTTCAGTGTACTTAATTTCTCCTGGGTAGCTCAATATTTTGGCTTGCCTTATAAAACATATATTTAGCATAAAACACTCTCATTCCTTTGTGATCAGAAATGTGCTGCCAATGTTTGTAAACTTCATTTCTTCAAAAGACAACCTTGTCAAAAATCTCCCAAACACTCAATAGCCAACAAGCACTACTTTGACATCCTGTCTCCCCTGAGAAAATCTGCAAGTAGTAAAAGAAACAAATTCATCCTTTACTTTTACTTACCCACCATAAATTGTCATTTGCCCCTCCGATGGGGGCAGAGTAAGCAAGGCTATGAATACATATTATAAAGTGTGATAAATATGTCATACTTATGCAAAACATGGACTGGAAGGACCATCAAAACCAATGTTACAAGAAATTCCCCAAATCCCCTCAGGGACCCTGGTAGGTAACATTTATCTGAATGGAGTGAAAACAAAAGAATTTTTCCACCACTGACATATTTGAAATGGTCCTGACATGTTTAAAAGTCTAGGTGATCTAAATAGCATGCTATTTACTACACAAAGGAACTTTATTTTCAGGCCCAAACATAATTCTACATGTAATATATTACTGCTAGTATGACTACTACTATTAATTATTAGTAGTAGTATACTATTATTTGTCAAGAGGTTACTTTGTGCCAGTATTGTCTTATTTAGTCCTCGCATCTACCCAGTGACCTAAGTACTTTGATGATTTCCCATTTTCAGATGAGGAAATTGAGTCTTGGTGAAGTTAAATAATTTGCTTAAGCTCCCACAGCTAGAATGTAGAAGCTAAAGATTTGAACCCAAGTCTGCCTGAATGCAGAGCCCGTGTTTTCACCACTGCTCTGGAATCGTCGACACAGGAACACAACATCAAACTCCATTTCTGACCAAAGACATCCTGATACCCCAACAGTATCTGTTAATCAGTACCCAAACTATAAGTGCTGATTTAACCTAGAATGACAGCTTTTAAGTTTCCATTCTAAAGGATTTTGGTCTTTGCAGGTATCACTTATGAAAACTATAAACTTAACATATGGTGCTACTAATTTTACTTTTACTTCAAATATCTTCTTAGTTTTAAGGGAGCCAACTAGGATCTCATGACAGGAATATTAAAGATCTCACCTTTGTAAAAAAATTACGTAAATTGTATCTAAAATGAGCATAAATTCCAAACAACCAACAACTCATGAACCTCAGAAACTGAAAACAGGCTTTACAAACAAAAAAGTCAGTTTACCTTTAATCTTCTTGTACTTTTTATACCATCTCCCAAACTCCTGGCACTTGGTTGCTGACACATTGGCATAATATGTGCTATTTACAATGGATGAAATCATACTCTGAAAAAAAAAATTATAGTTATTTTTTCAAAATATGACTACTTCTTTTTAGGGACAAGAAAGAGCACTTTATAACCTGCACTAACCTCTTTTTTCTTTTAAACTTAAAACAGTCACTCTCCTGTAAACTGAACTATTAACATCAAACACGATTACCTGAATTTACCATCCCTTTAATTTATACAATGATAGTGCTTTCTCCAAAAAGCCAACCCTGGGGCAATGTCAACAATGGAGGGGACAGAACATGCAGATTAAATGCAAAGAGGAAGAACAGTTGTGATTTAGGAACCAGAGCAAAAGGTGAGATCAGATGCTCCAGCATCCGTAATCCAAATAATGCCTTTCAGATGTTTCTGTTCCGCTTCCAACTGCAACAAGCTTACACAGCCAAGAATCTGAGAACATCCGTGCTACACACTGCAGAACAACATTTAGGGAAATAAGTTAAATTAATATAATTTATAGAAACGTGTGATTAGAACTTGTGTGAAAATTCACCAAATGAAAAAATTAACAGTGCTATTTTAGAGCAGGGGAAACTAAACACAATACTTGTACTGTGTTTCAATAAAAAATGAACCAAAGCTCAAACTTTCTGAGTGCTTAGGTGCATGATTCTTCCTTGCTCTCATCCTCCTCAGCCCAACTGCTCAGCTGATTTGTGTGTATTAATCATTGGGGTTAAAAGAGAAGTGGAGCATAGCCTGACATAGCACTGAAAAGTTAAAATTATAATTACACACCTTGAATTGAACTTCCTACAGAGATGCAGTTAATACAGTATGTTTGGGCCAACATTTGTGGCAGATGTTAATGTATACCTGAAATGACTGTGTATGTTTTATACATAGATTTTATTTCTTATTTTTTATTTTGTCCTGTGCATAAACAACTCAAGAGATCCAAATGACCTGTGTAAGGTTTTATATCTTGCCTTGAAATCTCATCTTTCTCAAAAAAAGTTAGCCCCAGACATAGAACAGTTCAGAGAAATCTTAGAACTTCTAACGACATTTCTACAAAGTAATAGAGATAAAAAGAGTAACAATAAATCAAGTTATTTAACAGGAGGTTAAAATGCCAGCAGACAGACCTTCATAAACTCCCATTTAAAACAACAGACTCCTCTTTTTTAATCACTATGCAGTACTGGTAGGGGAGGGGTTTCTTAATTCAATTCACAGAAACCTCTTTCGCAGATGGTTAGCCCTCCCCAGTTGCTGATCTAAACATGACAATTCTTTTCTCTGAGGGAAGATAGTAAGGATAACTCTTTTCATCCCAAGGTCTGAACACAGCACTGGGAACTCAAAGAGCTAATATCATCGGAGTGTATCACAGAACCTATGAGGCCTTGTCTCCTGCCTTATAGGATGACCACTGGAATCCTAATCTCCTGGAGACAGTCTTCTGCTTTGCGCTATTAACGACCAAGTACGGCTGTTCCCTAACTAGCTGAGCTAGCTCCCGCTCTGGCTGAGATTCACTCTGTTCCTAGACTGTGAGACCCTTGAGGACAGTGACTATGTCTGTTTCATTTTTTTTTTTTTCTATCTCGTGTCTCACATAGTTCTGATGTGGGATATCTGAGTCACTGAAATTTAACACAGGAAAAGGGACAGAGATGAGATTTAAAAGTGCCAAACTGAAATGTCATAGTAATAAATTTTTTTAACATGAAAGTAGCTTAATAATAGATGCATCAGTCATACTGGTATATGTGAATAACCACAAACGTACTTGTCATCTCTCTATCTTATTTGTATGAATTTATCCTCTGGAAAGGCACAGGATACACAGCCATGGCAGGAGTCAGAGTTAAACTCTGTATTGCCAAATGGTCTAGAAAGTTAACTAAAACGAACAGTGTCTAATTACTGCCTGGCACTGTTCCTCAATTCTTCCTGGCCCATAATACGAGGCCACAAGCCCAGACGACTGCATCATTTTGGCCCCAGATAATCCAAATTCCCCTCACTCTCTACCCTCTCTTTGTCCTTGCTCCTGCTATATCTTCAATTGACCCTGCACAAGGCAGAGTGGCAAGGAAATGAATATCTGGGCTCCTACTGGCTCCGTCGGCAGGTCCTATATTTCATATAACTCATTTGTAAAGGAGATGTTGGCTACCCTGACTCAATTAGATTTGTTTTCTGTCCCAGATAATCATAAATAAGTTGTTACCTCTACTGATCACATAACAAAAACATAAACAGGTTTCAACTATGAACTGAGCAAAAAAAAAAAAAAAAAAAAAGTAGCAAACAAATTTCCTAGATGAGAATCTTTAATCACCAGAAAAGTCTGTTTGAGTTTATGACACATTTTATTCATATCAACTCCCTGCAGGTCTTTATATAGAACTAATACCCAAAATAGTTTTTACTGATAAGAATTGTTATAGTCCATCCTCAGAAGACTTTAAAATCAGAAGACATAAAAATATCTTGGGAATATTTTAAAAGAAAGGCCATGTTATATCTGATTATTCCAGTTTCATGAATATTTTCTAACCCTACATTAGACTGTTAAATTCTCATAATCTGAAGCTAAATCACTAGGCTTCACTAGAATGCTCTGGACACATACCACAAGGTCATCTTGATGTTAGTGTCCATTAAATATCTAGAACATCAACACTTAATTAATGATACATAAAGTTGAAAGGGGCTAACATGAACCCAGCATGTGCTATTACTCTACAGAAAACAATGTTCTCTAAAGGTCCTGGGACACCGAGAATCTATATTTACCGTATTTCAACCACTTTTTATACTTCAACATCACTGAAATAGAGATCCATCTTACAATCAATAGCATCTTAAACCTGATAAGATACAGTTGATGCAGAATGGGATGAGTAATAATTAATGTCTTTCCCACCTACCACCCTGCCAAAAAAGATCTAATTCAATTTTTTGCTTTTTAAAATACATATAATTTTGCAGTTTATGTTGCTCTTTTATGTTTTCCAGTCATTCTAAAGCAACCGCACAGTTGGACTGTTAGGATCCATATCTTTTTGATAAAGGAATAAGAGCTGAGTCAACTTTTTCAATCCAGAATGCAACCAACTCGAGTATCTCTGTTTATACAAAGCAATACTAATACAAATAACCCAGAAAATATGTGTATTGCTATTTTTAACACTTAAACCGAGGAACTATGATTTACTAAGGCTAATATTAAAATGATTTTGCATTTACTAAGCATGTATCGCTTTGCATGGTGGTGGGCTGTGAAAAAGAAAGGATGAGGGTACACGTATAATGGGCAACTGCGGCAGTCCCCACTCAGATACCGAGACACAGCCACAAACACCACCACATAAACAGTGGCCACAGACAAAGCTAATTTATGAATAATATTATATTCTAAGATAAATTAAAATGGTTAAAATGTCTTTCCAACTACAGAAACTTGAAAATTTCTGACTTCATTGTAGTTAATTATGAAATTTTAAGTATAAAGGTTTTTGGATGGGAGATAAAGTATAGGTGTCCTTATTTGTAGTCAATTTGACATTTAGTTGGCCATTAATATCTGGAATTTTTTTTAAATAAGGTATTTCAGAAATCAAACTGTATTAGAATTTTCTTTACTTATTCCAAAGTTTACTAGCAGACTTGAATTTGCTCTAAGCCAAACTGCAAGAGAATAAATTTTATAATATTGGTATTTAATACTTATGATAGCTAGATTGATCTATCTAAAAATAGATTTTCTTTTAGGTTCCTGAAACAACTTTTTAACTCACTTGTTTGTTTTTCAACTAGCCCAGAGAATAGATGTCACATATGATTATAAGCATGGTTCCATTTTCAAACTGAGGCCCCAGAAACTCAGAATAAAAAGCATCTTTCCCAAAGTCAAATAGCACTGGGAGGCACCATGAAGACACTCTGTTAGTGGACCAGTATTTCATGGATCTCTTAAGAAGGGAGACTAACGAATGAATGGAAGGAAACATTCACCACCACCTCCATCAGCGACCCCAAGCTCAACAGCTGATGCTGCAACCAATACTTTAGACAAAACAAAAAACAAGGTAACAACAGCAAAAAAAGGAAAACATGAAGCTGTGATCTCAGGCCCCTTATACAAGTTAACTAAGAAGTTTAGAATCCAAGAAAACTACGGAACCTAAAGGGAATTTAAAACTTAATAGGAAAAAGCAAAATAATAAACACAGGTTAAAATGATTTGTAAGATACACTTAGAAAAACAGAGATCTGAGCATCCCCTTTTCCCAAAATAAAACAAAAGATAAAATAACTGGATATCCTTCACTACAATCTGCTTGGCTTGGTGGGATTTATTTGTTTGAACAGCAGTGTGGTACTAAGAGTAGCTAAGCTGAAAACACATAATACACTTGTTATGAAGAAGAACATTTTTAAAGCAATGTGAAGAATTACATATTCTGTCAGTGAGAATCCCCTGTCTGAGGGAAGAGGAGGGGCATCCCCTAGCCTCCTCTTCTATGTCTTCATGAGGGAGAGAGCAAAGACAGGCAATGAGTGAGTGATATGTGCATTCTTTGCTCATTTTCGGCCTTTTCAATCTGCTTGGTGATATGCTAAATAACATATTAAACATGAGAATATAATGATACTTCAATTAGGTAATGGGAAAAAAACTGATTCTGAGGAATTACTTTGTCATGAAAAAAATTCATTTAATGTCATTTGGCAGCCTTCTACTATCCCTCTCTGTCCCCACTTCTGAGCTATAACATCAGAATTGAAAACTGCTGCCATTTTAAGGGAAAGAAACACTTCCTCTGAACTTTGGAGTATGAAAACACTACATTTGAGAGCTCTTCCCCTAAGCTGTTGCTGAATGGCTTGCTTCTCTAATGTCAGCACCCTCACCTGTGATTGGGGATATTGTCTCCTGCATCAGAGAGTGTAAGGATTCTTCTGTGAGATGATTTGTGTAAAAGGCCTAGCACAAGATGTGGAATCAGCAAATGGCATCTTTCTCCCCACTGTGCAATCATTTCTTATGGTCACTGCAATCCCTTGGTTAGGAATATTTTCAAGCTGTCATTTGTGAGCCTTCTTCAGCATGAGTCCACGAGGTTGGGACACAAACTAAAATAACCTCACATGAAAATAACTAAAACAGACAGTTGGCAACTGGTTAACACAAGACATGATGCATCCCCACTACATACATGAACTTAGGTTAAATTAAACGGACAGTTGGCAACCAGTTACCATGATTCTGGTCCATGCAGTTGATCAGCCACTATATATGATGAGCACATGCTCAATTTGTTTTTTTCTGCTGACCCAATTGGCTGCTTGATTTCACTACTCAATTGTTTTGGCATGTTGTACATATGAGTTAAGTCCAAATGGGTAAGGCTTGCTCAGGATGACAGAAATAATTATCCTACAATCTATTTCTAAAGGCACACTACATGAACGCCATACCATTGTCACACCGGAAATCTAGTAACATCTCTGCAGCTCAATAGCTTTAGTCAGTCATTTTGTTCCTCAAATATTCAGCAACAAAGTCTCAGCCAGCACCATGGGACAGAGCTGCTTCAAAAACATGTCTACACGCTAAGTAAAGTAAACCAGCACAAAATAAATGTTCTATGATTCCACTTACATAAGGTAGGTAGAATAGGCAAATTCACAGAGGCAGAATACAGAATAGAGGCTACCAGGGGTCAGGATGAGAGGGGAATAAGGAATTGTTGCTTAAAGGTTACAGACTTTCCATTTGGAGAGTTGAAAAAGTTCTGGAAAGAGACAGGGGTGATGGTTGCACAACACTGTGAATGTAATTAATGCTACTCAGTTGTAAGCTTAAAAACGTTTAGAATGGCAAACTTCATGTTATGTATATTTTACCATAAGAAAACATGTCTAGAGTCACAGAGAATATGTTTAGGAGATGGAGCACATTGGAAGTTGCATGCACTTGCAAATTGTTCTTTTCATTACAATTTTCAGGCTAGGTGCAATGGCTTATGCCTATAATCCCAGCATTTTGGGAGGCCGAGGCAGGAGGGTCACTTGGGGTCAGGAGTTCAAGACTAGTCTGGCTAACATGGTGAAACCTCATCTCTACTAAAAACACAAAAATTAGCCGGGCATGGTGGTGCTCACCTGTAATGCCAGCTACTTGGGAGGCTGAGCGGGGAGAATTGCTTCTGCCCGGGAGGCAGAGGCTGCAGTGAGCTGAGATCATGCCACTGTACTCCAGCCTGGGCAACCCAGGGAGACTCCGTCGCAAAAAGAAAAAAAAAAAAAACCCCACAGTTTTCAGTTAACAAGACTGTCTCTTTAGTCATCCCATTTGAACATCATGATCACCTATGAGATGCACAAGGCAGGTACTGGTACCTCTACTTATTTAAATGGGTCAAAACCCTGAGCACCTGGGGTTTTGCAATCAAAAGCCGACCTTAGGTATTTCAACTCTTCCTCAAGTAAGAATAAGTAAGCCACAGAAAGATGCAATCATAAGGTTTTCAAATTGGAACAGCTAAGGACTATTTAATAAGGGAGGACGATGCCTAAGGTCTGCTAAATTAGGATGCTCAGGACAGCCAGTGGCAGAGGAAAGAGGCTGCAAGTGGTTACTCACAGAGACATCAGAGGAAAAGGAAGAGGTGCCAGCACTTAAACACACTTTGAAAGGTGAAATCAAAAATAAATACGCAGACACACAACCACAATCTGTACTTTCCAAGCATCTGGCCAGACAGAGAACGGCTAAATCATTACTTCCCTGTTTTAAATATATATATGCCTCAGGCTACAATTGTGGCACTTTTATGGACTTCTCCATACCTTTCTTCCACCTTCAAAACTGCTCTTTTGAACTTCAGACCACTGGGGTGTTCAAGAAAGTATGAACTATCCACTGAATCATTCCCTTTGTAATTGCCAAACTCAAGTGAAGAATCACCTAAAATGGTTTGGCTTAGGGGTAATAAGGAAGAATTATTTCAATAACAGGAATCTTTTACTCATGAGTTGAGTCTATTTTTGAAAAACCCAACAAGCCACCTTTCTCACCTAAGGTGAGTAGTACTGGATGCCTCACTCTCTTCTTCCTATATTGAAAGGGTTTTAGTTCCTCCCTCAGATTCACTGTTATATCCCCAGCCCATCGCAAAGTGCCTGATTCTTAATCAGGACTCCAGGAATGCTGGTGGAAATATACTGTTGAATTACTGTTTCACCTTGCTTAGAACAAAAATGCATTCTTTTTTACTTTATACAGGCTGAACTATAAAAACTGCATGCATCTGTTCTATGACAACTACCAACAAAATAGGCGCGCTTATCTCCACACTAAATTACAATCTAGCTATGCAATTTAAGTGAATAATCTGGAATGTTTAAGGATAATGGCTGTAGGATGAATGCCAGGGTCCACATTACATATCCATGATAGCTGAAAAGAGCTATCCCAGTGAGATTTTCCATAATCACACAACATATCAGAAGCCTAAATCAAATCTCACCCAAATCTAAACAACAGATATGAGCCCCTGTTTAACCGAAATGTGCTGGGCATCAATCACCAAATTACTCTATTCACTGTTTCTAGTTCAAAATGTTTTGGAACTGCCAAGAACACTGTAATAATAATAAAACTTTACATACTAATAAAACTATACTTTATGAAACATTTTTAAACTTAATTCATTAAGCACATCAGAGAATTGGTTAACTGAGAGTGGTACTCCTCCTGTCATGGGACCTTTGGCAACATCTGGAGACATTTTGGTTGTCACAACTGGGGGAAGGGGTATAGTGGCATGCTAGTGGCATCTAGTGGGTAATGGACGGGGATGCTGCAAGGCACAGGACAGCCCCCCACCACAAAGAATTATCCTGCTAAAAGGTTAAATTCCTGCATTATAGTAACAGCTACATACAAAATATATATTATGCTGAATGCTGTGGACACAAAGATCAATAAGAGATGGCCTCTGTTATTGTGGACAGTCCATCTAGTGATGGAAACTGACAGGTAACAATGACAACAGGCTGAGATAAGTGCTGTGACAGGGTTATTTACAAAGGCTACTAAGAGCAGAAGTAGCAACTACTTCAACCAGGAGGTTGAGGCACTTCACTAGCAGTGTCTTTCCAGCTGGAATCTGAAAGATAATTTCATCAAGTAGAAAAGAATAGTGCATTCTAGCCAGGTGAAATCATGCATGCAAAAGCAAGCAAGTGTCAAACTGAAGGACTCTAGAGTCACCAGGATTGTGTGCAGGGGCTTTCAAAGCCAGAGATTAACAAGGTACATCTCCCTAAAGAACCAATCTCATGTGGAGAGAAGGAGATTACTAACTTAACAGGCAAAATGATTTTATGCCATTTTAAAAATATTTAAAACACAGGGGCCAGGAGCAGTGGCTCACGCCTATAATCCCAGCACTTTGGGAGGCTGAGGCAGATGGATCATGAGGTCAGAAGATCGAGACCATCCTGGCTAACATGGTGAAATCACGTCTCTACTAAAAATACAAAAAAAAAATACCCAGGCGTGGTGGCACATGCCTGTGGTCCCAGCTACTCAGAAGGCTGACGCGGGAGAATCGCTTGAACAGGGAGGCGGCAGTTGCACTGAGCTGAGATCGTGCCACTACACTTCAGCCTGGGTGACAGAGCGAAATTCTGTCTTAAAAACAAACAAACAAACAAACAAAAAACAACAAAACAGGTATATGGACTAGAATATAAACTTGGCATTAAATTTTAAGATAATACAGAAGGTGGCCTTGTTAGATTTTTAATGCCACACTAGTTAGGTTGCTCCCACTCTCAAGAGATATTTTGAGCAATGGTAAACATTTCAAAATAATTAATTTCATGTGTTTGGAATATAGAATGAGTGCAGGAAGAGGGAAGAAGGTAGCTCTAGTGAAATATAAGGCTGAACAGTGTCATCTTGATGGTCTTTATGATATGGAGTCCGTACTTCCTACAGGGTGGGTAGGGGGAGTGACTGAGGAATTATAAACAAGGAACACAGGAGAATCAGGTGGCAGGAGAAAAGTCATGAGGCAAGAAGACCTGAAATATTTTAGATGACAGATGATGAAAGAATGAACAAGGCAGTGGCACAAGGGAAAAAGATTTTAGATGGAGAAGTGATGGAACCCATAGGATCAAACAGAAGGGTGAGGGAGAAGAAACTGTTTAGGTCAGACAACTACGTGAGCAAACCATGAGAGCAGAGAGTGGAAGGGGAAAGAGGTTTTTATGATAGGGTTAAAGATGATCTCATTTGAACGTCAAGACAACCCTCCGAACTATGTGAAACATGCAAATACAATGATGCCCAGCTTATAGAAGAGTTTAACGAGGCCCTGAGAAGTGAACAGACTTGCCCAGGATCACATATCTGGCATAAAAGAACTGAGATTAGAACCCAGGGCTCTTGGCTCCTGATCTGGATTCTCCTCACTCATGTTGCCTCTCTAGTCATATCTACAATTATAACCAAACATGATTTTCATGATACAACAGTTTGGACCAAACTTCCACATGCCTCAGAAGCCCTGGATAAATTTCTGAATTGGTAATATCAAGTTAGAGGTTTGTACACTTCCACACAAAGCCCATTTCGACTTCCATGTGAATGCAAGAGAAAATTAATTGTGAATGATTGTGAAATTTGGGAAAAATTATTGACAGCTTTTCCTAACTTGTTCTTTGTCCAGTTCCTTTGTATCACCAGTATAATCAAAATATGCATTTTATAACTTTGTATGTAACAAGGCTTTAACATCTACATACATACCTACAGGTAGGTATTAAAATGGCCTCCATGAAAAGTCCTAAACATAAGGTCAGAATAATGTCCTTTTCTATCTAGCTGCCTATACGTGAATGCATGCCTTCTTGATTTTTTTCGAGGCAAAAATATTAATAGCATACTTTGCTTCAGAGGATCCAAATTCCAAAACACCCTCAAAGGCACACACACACACATTCAGTTCACATCATATCTCAATAATAATAGCTGATACTGTTTATGGTGCATCATTGCATGCCAGGCATTAGGCCAAGCATTTTATGTAATTTCCAATCATTTAATCCTCTTTATATAACTCAGAACCATTACTACTCAGTTTTACTAACCAAACAAGGGGGGCTCATAAAGGTAAGGTTATAGAGGCTTGTCAACCAGGACATGAATCCAGCCCTGATTCCAGGATACATGCTCTTACCCAATAGCCTTCCTATCTTCCAGAGACTCCCTTACCCTGGAACAAAGCTCATGGCACAGCAAATTTCTGTAATAGGTTTCTCATTATTTTCCCTTCAACTTAACAGACATTGTCTTAAATCATGTGTAGCAGCTCACACCAGGAAACAGATTTCCATTCAAAGCTTTAGATGATTTGTCAACCTGGGTTCATTTCTACAGCAGCCCCAATCCACCATAGGAAAAATATTATCTCATCAGTAGAAAAAAATGAGTCCCAGCCCATGAACACAAATGGAAAAGGCAGCCCTTTCCTCCACTGCTCTTCTTTTGATCCTCTCAATCTCATTTTCATGGTTTGTATTAGTTTATGGTGCGTTCACTAAAAAACAGAGTATCACTTTTCCTCATGATGCATTTTCTTCTTGTGAATTCACTACAAAACCTCTACAAATGTATATGATGTAAAGATCATCTCTCTACACCAGACAGGCAAAAGGCCCAATAAATCATGCATAGATGGATTTAGCATGGCTGACTCATCCAGCTGACCAAATAAAACAACAATCTGGTGCATCCACTTTGAAACAGGGGGGTGGGGAGTAGCATCTCAGCCTGCCACTTAGCCAGCTAGTATGCTTAGGCAGTGAATGTAAGTGCTTCTCTAAGCTCCTGTTTCTTGATCTATAAAATGGAGACACTGGTCCCTATCTCCGATGAAATATGTGAGAAGTTAATGACTGTATATGTAAAACGTCTATTTTCTTTTCTTTTCTTTTTTTTTTTTTTTTTTTTAGAGACAGGGTCTCGCTATCTTGCTATGTTGCCCAGGCTGGTCTCGAACTCCAAGGCTCAAGGAATCCTCTGGCCTCGGCCTCCCAAAGTGCTAGGATTACAGGTGTGAGCCACCATGCCTGGCCCGTATACGTAAATTGTTTTAATACTCTCTCCTTACCCAGTCTCAATAAATGCTAATTTTTTTTTTTTTAAGAACCACCCAGGGTCTCACTCTGTCACCCAGGCTAGAGTACAGTGGTGTGATCTTGGCTGACTGCAATCTCCACCTCCCAGTCTGAAGCAATCCTCCCAGCTCAGCCTCCTGAGTAGCTGGGACTACAGGCACATGTCACCACGCCCAGCTAACTTTTGTATTCTTTGTAGAGATGGGGTTTCGCCATGTTACCCAGGCTGGTTTCAAACTCCTGAGCTCAAGCAATCAGCCTGCCTCAGCCTCCCAAAGTGCTGGGACTGCAGGCATGAGCTACCCCATGCCCGGTTAATAAGCTATAACTTCTATTCTACAACCAGAAGCAACATAATCTTTTACACCTCAAATGCAGTTTAAGTCTATAAATAAAAGACAGAGAAGACAGTTGTTTAAGCAGAAGGAACCCCCTGATAGAGAGTCTACCAATGGCTTCTTCTGTTTCCCAGACCCCCACCTGAAGATACTGACCTGGGAGAGAGGGCATTCTTTGGCTAATGTGCTCTGGTTCATCTCTTTGAGCAGTTCCTTTAAGGCATTGCGGACTGTGGCATGGTTCCACTGCTCCGCAGGCAAGTCTTCCAACTTTGAACAACTGCAAAACAGAGCAATAATGAACAATACACAAACCTCAACCAGGGTCCCTGACTGAAGAGGAGACACTGCAGCAGCCATTCTTGGGTCTTGTGGGAGCTTCAGAAGAAATGCTAAAGAATGGGGTCTAAGTGAAGGAAGGGAAGTAAAACTGCTTCTCCAAGACTTTGCGAGGGCCCAAGGGGTCTCTTTTGAGTTTGTCATCCCACTCATCCAAGAAAAATAGTCATTTGCAATACAAGAGATGCTATTTTTATAAAATATGATTTTTCCAATGTGCTGGTGGAAATGGCATGGCAGTGTGGTTATAAACTTCCCCAATACAAATGTAATTATTGTGCATGCCTAAGGTTAACTGTAAACAAACATCCCCTGTCAGATTTGCAGTTGGAAGGCCCACCCTCACCCTCATAGAATGGCTCAGAGTTACTCTCTGAACCAAAAAATGACTTTTCAGATCCTCACCCATTCATAGACACAGATGGGAATGCTGGGGGTCCATATTTAAAGTATAAATTGCCCAAAAGGGGAAAATTCAAAACACTTACACTAAAGGACAACACTCCTTAAATCACACCTATCAGGCACTTTACAATAAAAGACTGCAAAGAACCTCCAGTTCTTTAGAGAGATATCTTGTTCCAGATGCCATATTTGAAAAAATAAAGAAATCATCCCCAGAATCTCTGCAGGCCACAAAGTGTGTTTTTGTTTGTTTGTTTGTTTGTTTGTTTTGATGTGGCCCTTGGAAAGGGAAGAAAAAGATCTCCTATGTCAGGACATTCTTGGTAAACCTCCTACAAGAACAAAACTCTCCCCTCATAACACAAATGTGAAAACAGCAGAGGTGTTTATTCTTCAAATACTATGTGCTACACATTTAAGCAGGCCTAGAGGACCCATTGAATAAGGGGCTGTGTAAAGCTACTCCTAAGGGCTATAGATTTTTAATGATTTGTCAAGCCGCCCCTAGGTTACCACTTCACTGCTTCTGAAAACAAAGCATAAAGTAGTTGGAATGTGACTATAAAGACACCTGGGGAAGGGCCACCCTTCTCCTTCTCTCCTTCTTTCCCTCTCTCTCCTTCTTTTCATTTTGTCCAATGTCCAGAAATTAATAGACAGGACATGCTGATCTTTGCAGTGAATCTATGATTGACGGAGCAGCTCTGACAGTAAGGAAAAGCAGATGTTCAGAAACACCCACCTTTGTAATTGGATTTTCAACGTCACAACATGATAGACATCTTGTAGCATGTCGGCCACTGTCGCGTCGGGTGCATCTGTCACATAACTGAGGGGGAGAGGGTTCCACCTTCCCAGCTTGATTATTCCTGCACAGGGAAGAAAAACATAATAAACACATATCTGCTATTTATTAAACCTTCCCATTGTTTGTTCAATGTTAAGAAGGTCATTCAATCATCAACATCCAAGGCCCACTCAGATATTTTACAACCCAGTGCAATAAGCTATTTCTTTCTGGCCGACAATTGAGTTAGTTAACTATACAGGAAGATGGGAAGGAAAGAATGAGGTTTAATCACAGACAATCAGTTCTTTTATGTTTTCCTGTTTCTTAAATTACTTAGAAAACCATACGGATACTTCCTTCCCCCCAGAATTGTTTCACATTCTAACTTAAGGCTGATGCTAAATATACAGGACTGCTGATTTCATAGACAAAAAAAAAAGTAAGCCTTAAGTAAATATAAGATTCAGTTTTGAATTGTACAAGAAAATTCCTGTGTGTGGGCTCAGCACGCAGTTACATCCTGACTGTGGTGCGATTCCCAGTGCGAACAGCATTTGGAGCTCATGAAGCAGTTAGAGTTCGCTCCCATATCTGCGTTTCAGCAGGCAGTGGGGTTGCTTTCCCAGGCCAAATGCAATACCACGGTGATTGACCACAGATCAGAAATAGCAAAGATGCCCTCAAGTTCCTTTCTTTTTTTTATTCCTCAGCTCTTTTGACAGTGACAATAGTACTTTTTCCCTGTGGATTTCCTGCTGCATATGGTAAACATGCATAACAATGAAAAAATAATAAAAATCCTTTTTAAGCTTGGGCTACGTAGAACAGCAATTTTAGGAATACCCTTGTTAGAGGAAGATTCATGGGATGGTTTCAGCAACATATGGTGAAAATGCTAACTTATTCATAAGATAGGCCCATTTTATCTGGTACACAGGGCACACGTAACATTGATGAAGAAAAATAGAGAAACCCATTTCACATATGACACAGGGTAACAAAAATTTTATTTGTAGGCGATGAAAAATCCCATGTCTCCAGGATGTCAGAAATTGCCACACATAAAAAGCAGTGATGCTTTAGTGATAAAAGAAAAACAGCATTTTTATTTTTGACAATACAGGTGAGTCCAACTACACTGTTCTTTAAAAAAATATATTATCATCAAAGAGAGAAAACACCTGTGCACCCAAGTGAACTTTTAAGAGCCTCACAAAATGACAGCTATGGGGCAAAATTCCAGCAATAGGAAATGGACTTTCTGGTCAGGGCACGTCCTGTCCAAGATGAAATAAATGAATGCGCAATGCTTGACATAATGCTTGAAAACAGGGAATAAACAGAACAAAAATATTAAAATGATACACTGTTTCAGTATTAAGATTTAACAATCTGGTGCTGAATATGCTGCAGTATAAATAGTGCCTGGACTCAGATCCAATAAAGTAACACAGCTCTCATTCATAGTACCGTATGTCTCCAGTTCTGGCTCCTTAAGTCATATTTCACTTGCCAAGAAAAGCTGTTTTCTTGCGGGGATAGTTTTCTTAACATTCTCTCTCATGACAATGAAAAGTGCACAGCACACAGCATGTAGTAGTCATGAAATGAACATCCAGGGCCCACTGGACAGCCACCCACGAGAGAGTGGGTCTGCTTCCTTGCTTCTTTTACTCCTGACATTTGCAAATACTAAAAAGAAACCATGTAACATGTCTAACATATTTCCTTTTTAAAAAATCATTCTACAATTTTAAATTCCTTTCAAAAGTCATTACCATGATCACCCATAAGTTGAATATAAATTGGCTGTGTTCTAAAGTCACACAGATAATATATGACAGAATGGGGGGGAATGAAGTTGACAGTTGTGCACTATGATAGGCAAGTAAAAGAAGCAGATTTTGTGGGTCATTTTGGTTACTAAGACTAAGCAAGTAATATAAAAAAAAGGACCCTACAAGCTTCAACGCACAACTCTACAAGAGATTCATTCAAGCTGTTGTGGTGTCAGTAGTTGATTCCTTTTTATTGTAAAGAAGCATTCCATTGTAAGAATACACCACACTACAGCCAGACACAACAGAATATATCTGTATGATTTCATTTATATGAAATACAAGAACAGGCAAGACTAATCTAATGGGGATAGAAGTCAGAGGGACAGAAAGGGGCATTACATAGGCAGGGACATATGGGGATTTTCTTGTTTGGCATGGTGGTTGCATGGTTATACAAATTGTCAAAATTTATCAAACTGATCACTTAATATGCATACATTTTTGTATGTAAATTATACCTCAATTTTTTAGAGAGGGGAGGGAGAGAAATCTCTACAGGAAATAATAGACAACTCATTCTACTGGAAATAGAATCTCCATATAGGTAAATTCTTACCCCACCTTGATGAGCCGGAAGAAGACTTGTTTGGGCTGGAATTAGACACACACAGGTGTTTTAACAACACTTAATACCTCCACATAGAGCAGCTGCTACAGTTTGGTTTCTATATCTTGGAAGAGAGCTGTTGGCACATGCTATTTTCCCAGGCAATGGGAAGTGTGTGCTTTTCCTTTTTTGCACCTTATTAACTAACTTGCACAGTCCTAGAAGTCATGGTCTCTGCACAGCTATTTACCAGGGTCTGCAGGTACAAGATCTGCTAGGAGAGCTATGGCCAGAAGCCCACTCTACTCCAGCCAGGTAGAGGCTTGGAGTAACTCTTAATGAGCCTTTCCTCCAAACAGGGTCTCTGTCTAACGTACTGTGTTAATCCTCTTTGCAAATACATTCTTTAGAACAGTCCTCCTTCCCTGATATAAAATAGACAAAAATATTACTTGGAATAGTAGTCAAGTGTTAATTGAGGAAATCAAATTGGGAAGCAGTATACCATAGTGACTAAGAATGCAGGCTTCCAAGTTAAATTGCCTCTGTTCACATCCTGGCTCTGTCACCTACTAATTATGTAACCCTACCAAGTTACTTAAAATTCTCCATACCTCAATCCTCTCATCTGTAAACTGGAACAATAAAAGTACTGATCTTACAAGAATACTGTGCAGATTAAATGTAAAAATTATTAAAGAGCATGAATATAATTTAATCTCAAAAATTTAGTCATTCTTTTGACCTTTTTAATGTGTCTTAAAGAGAAGATATAGTCAGTTTATTTCAAAATACATTGACTCAAAAGATTTTTGATGATTATATTAGCTTTCAGTCATGTGTCTATAAAAGACTTTTGTTTTAAATCACAAAGGAGGAGTATACATCAATGTGTCCCATCTTCTATTCCCACCACTTCCCCATTCATTTCTTCCATCCTTGCTCCTCAGTGGCGTCTTTCCTTTGACCTGTAAGTAGATTCAGATCTCCCCTACTTTTTTGTTTGTTTGTTTGTTTGTTTCTGACACAGGGTCTGGCTCTGTCACCCAAGCTGAAGTGTACTGGTGAGATCTCAGCTCACTGCAACCTCTGCCTCCCAGGCTCAAGCTAGCCTCCCACATCAGCCTCCCAAGTAGTTGGGACTACAGGTATATGCCACCACACCTGGCTAAGTTTTGTATTTTTATAGAGACAGGGTTTCACCATGTTGGCCAGGCTGGTCTCCAACTCCTGGGCTCAAGCGATCTATCTGCCCACCTCAGCCTTCCAAAGTGCTGAGATTACAGGCATGAGCCACTGCACCTAGCCCTCCCCTACTTTAAAACAAACAAAAACACTATGACAATCTCTCTGTTCCCTCAGTCTCTTATTTTCTGCACCACCAAATCTAGTATAGGTGTACCTCCAATTTCTCCATCAGTTCTTTACCCCTGAATATCTAGTGTCAACTCCCTCCATGAGGAAATGGAGATTCAGAAGGGATGGGTTATCTTAAGTAGCCTAGGTAATATTACTAGCAAGTAGCAGAGCTCAGATTCACTTCAAAGACCAGGCTCTCACTCTTCTTGTTATCACACTGGCTCAAGTGAGAGGCAAACTAGAAGAAAAGACTGGTTCCAAGTTTTGGGAGGCCGTGAATGCCTGACTCAGTAGCACACTGTATAGGTCAAAGGTTAGGAGTAAGGTCTGGAGTCAAAGATGAGTTTACACCCAGCCTCCTCTGCTTGTCACCTGTGAGACTTTGGGCAAATTGTTTAGTCTTTCCATGTGTCCATTTCCATATCTGTAAAATGGGGATACGAACAATGCCTACCCTTTAGGGTTATCATGAGACTTTACATGAAAAGGAGACTCTAGCACTGGGACTGCTACATAAGTGCTCCATAAAACTTAAGGGACAATAGATCCTTGTAAGTTTCTTAGTGTACACATAACAACAATAAAGCAAAACTTCCAGAGATTAATTTATACAAGTTGAGTATTCCTTATCCAAAATCCTTGGAGAACCAGAAGCAATTCATATTTCTGATTTTTTCAGATTTTGAGATAGTTGCATTATACCTACCAGGTAGGCATCCCAAATCCAAAAATTCAAAATCTGAAATGCTCGAATGAGCATTTCCTTTGAGCACCATGTTGACACTCAAAAGATCTCAGATTTTGGAACATTTCAGATTTCAGATTTTCAGATTTGAGATGCTCAACCGGTACTGGACTGCAGGTGGATTAAAAACAGCGCTCATTCCAAGGGGAGAAAAAAGAACCGAAATAATTCAGGTAGGTATGTCTAGTTACAATTACAACAGCCTCTTCCTGGCTTCTAAGGAGGGATGCAGACCACACCAATCACTCCAGTGTAGTGAACAAGGACAAAGAAGCAAGAACAAGTTATGTGGCCATTGAGGATAATATTGCAGCACTAGAGAAATGTCAATAATGATGGCATAACTTAAGTATACAGATGTTATTCCCAACATTCACATTCTATAAGTTTTGTAACCCCAATTTGAAAAATGAGAAAAACTAGTGATGATTAAATTAGGAAATATTTCATACACGTGCGCAAGCGCGCGCGCGCGCGCGCGCGCACACACACACACACACACACACACACACACACACACACACACACACACACCTTTGAGTTCAGCCAGGAACATAGTAGATGCTAAATGCATGGCAATTTCCATTTTTTCTCTGAAAATTTATCACACTCTCACTCTGTCTAGAGTACTGATCCCCAATATTCACTTCTAGAAACTGTCTATATTATTGCTGAAATTCTGCCATGGGAATAATTCCAACCCAGATAACCCACCTGAAGTAATCCTTTCTCTATAACACGGTACAATAAATATTCTTGGTTGGTTTGTATACCTTATAAAAAACCTACTTATTCACAATATCCCTTTATGTTACTTTACAGTTTGCACAGTGTTTTATACAACCATTAGTTTATCCTTATGAAAACAGCCTGGACTCAGCATTCTACCTGGAAGTAAGCTGAAGATCAAAGAATGACTTTTCAAGGACATAAGTGGATGAAAACCAGGAATAAAACCTAGGCTTCATTTTGCAAGTTTTTGAACTACTGGGCCAATATCCTTTCTGCTCAGCTCTGCTACCGATGCCCTGAGGATGTACCCACGTCCAAGCGCCCAACCACACAAATGGGCCCCTGGAGAGGAGGGCCAGAGCACGTCCACAGTCACACATCAGGCAGTGTCTGGACATTTAATGTTAAACCAAGGAATAAATGAGACCAATGAGCAAACAGGTGACATCACAGTCCCAGAAGTCTGAAGAGCCAGTTAAACTTGGGACTTCTCTGGAAAAAACAGTTTCCCACAACAGTGCCATTTCAGACATAAACATTGTTTTCCAATCATCTTTATTATTTACAAGGAATTTGTCATCTGCAAACATTTAGAAAATGCTTGGTGTTGAAGACTATTACAGATGCTGTTATAAGGTCTTTGAGTCACAAATTATGGGCCTTTATTTTGGGGTTGAAATTCATACAAATGTTAACATGATTGAATTGAGCACAGTATGAATAAAACCGTCTATATCCAGACAAATCTGTTCACTAAAATATAGAGTACCAATCTACTCAATGTGTAATGTGTACAGACCAAATAACAAAATGCAATTGTAGGTAAATTTCCCATTAGTGATATAAAATTAGATTGGGAATGGAGGCAATTTTTGTCTAAAATTAAAAAGATGCAATAATGGAAACCAGTTTTTTATTTTCTCAATGCAGTATTCTGCCAGAGTTAAAGAGCTGACATTTCACCAAAAGAAATATCAATAGTTGTTTGTGTTCATGTTTTTGGTATTTATCTCAAAGAAAACAGTTACTATTCTCAGTAAATGCATAATTCATATTTTTAGTATCATTTGCCTCTAATTATATAAAAACAAAAGAGTGGTGATAATACACATTATAGTCGATCAATATTTGATTCAAGCCTTTAGAAAGTCAATCATGTCTGAGGATAAAATAAAATGTGATAATACATTATAATCAATGAGCCATTAGAAGTGTTTGTATTAAGCATGAAGCATTCATTCAACAACTTTTTTCTTGTGTCCCTCCAACATAAGTCACTAAGATGCAAAGATAACCTCAATATATACTGTCCCTGTAATTATGGAGCTCACAATTGAGCAGAGAAGCTTATTATTGCTAAACACATAGCTAAGTGAAACCATTCCTAAAATAAGCCAAGATGATAGCTTTTACCCCTGTACCTTAAATATGAGAAATATTTACTTCATGAAGGCCTACAACAGGCTGCCTGTGAAGTACATGAGAACAGTTCTCACAGTTTGCAGTGGCATGTAGATAGATGCTGATAAAATAGATATATATTGGGTATACTGCACAATAAAGCCTACAGTTCAATCTGTGAAACAGATATAAGCAACCCAGCAAGATATCCAGCAGTATTCTTATAATTCAGCTGGATGGATAATTTTCTTTTATTCCAGGTGCATTTTAACATTAATTTTTAAAGCAAAATGAAAACTCAACCTGAGAAAAAAAAATGAGACATTAGCTTTAATATCCAAAGGCTGGGGTTTGTATATCTCATAACTCCCTGGAAAAGATCTCCACAAAAGAGTGTCAATAAAAACCCCAGCCTTAGAAGAACTAAGCCTTGGGGCTTCTGGTTCTCGGTATTATTTCCACAATACCAACTGCTGATGAGGCTCCTTGTAAAAATAGGAGAACTCATGACATTGATTGCATCTGTTTATCTTCCTCAGAGTGGTTGTGTTCATATGCTATAGCATATAATTTTCTGTTGTTCAGCTATGCTTTGTTAAAGAAATTAAAAACTGTCTATCCTATATAATAAGAACATAGAATTATTTATCCATAAATCAGTTCACAGGAAATCACTACCCAGCAGTATATAATAATTCAGCCTGTGTTTCTAACCTGTGGCCTGACTGTGGTATATCATCAAATTGTAGCAGCAAAAAGACATAAATTGTAGTTATTATTGCTAAAGCTGTGGTGGGAATGACTTTTCAATGAGGAAAAAGAAAAAAAGGTGAAACAAAAATGGTTTTTGAAGTATACATATTTTCCTTTTTAATGCATAGTTTAGCAGTGCCCCAGTACAACTTGTTGGAATAAACCTAACTCTTCTACACCTTCTGCTTTGATTTTAAGGACTCTCTCTATATATATTTCAACTGGCTTGCATTGGGGTAAAAGTAAGTGGAAAATGAAACAGCATTTTTGAGTCATCTTACATTATTCAAGTGCCTTTATAACTTACACAAATTAATGAAACCTCACAACATACTTGTCTGGGAGCCTACAATGGATTTAATCCTGCATTTATGACAATACAAAAGGAAATGCCAAACAAAAATAAATAATTCAATGATTCAAAATAAACACTGAACATATACTGTCATATGAATTTATCTAAAAATCAAGAGATGCAAGTGTGTGAGCACACACACACACAATGCACTGTTTCCCATCCCCACAGATAACTTCTCTGTTTGCAAGAATTCGGTAACACTGACAAACACAAACAAAGTAGGTTTTACCTTTAAAAATACTAACCTGTATATTTAAATCATATTTCTATCTTTCAGAGGAAATTATCAAGAAGATTATTATTTAAAAATTAAAATTAATTTTAGAGTACTTTCTGAATAAACTATAGTGATACAGCTGTCTGTCACACTTTTTTTTTAAGCTGACTACCCCCTTACACTACAGAAACATTCTATTTTAGAAATATATACAGTACCATTTGGTGCCTTGTAATTCTATACATGGCTTTTACAATTTTGCGGCATAAAGATTTTGTCTAATGTAATAGATGCTGCTTCACATTTGGGAAATGTTATGTTACAACCCTGACTTTTATTAGATTATTTAATATAAGCACTAAGTAACTAGACTAAATTAATAAAGACCTTATTGAAAAAAAAATGGAGAGGGAGAGAACAAAATTATTCCACAAATTAAATAAAACTTTCTGAAGTTAGCATTTCAGAAATCTTTATTTAATTTTCAGAATTCCAGTTCTTCTGTAAAACAGCCAAAATATTGGTCAGGATATGAAAAAAAATGTGGTTGGTGTTTAGTTATTTATTTCATAAAAGTGCCATTTAAAACTATTACATGGAGGAATAAGACAAATGAGAAAGAAAAGTGTGATGAGAAATTATTTGGGGTTGGTTCTAAACTTCTGTCACTGGTTAAAAACCATTTCATCCAGTACATATTTTCTTATTGTTGTTCTAAGTTTAATCATTTTCTAAAAGAGTTTTAAATTAAAAAACTCATGGTGGCAGGTAATGCAAAGAAGCTTCTTTTTTCCTCCTTTCTATTCGGAAATACATTTGCATAAAGAGATTTCCCCCTAGCATTTGTCCCCCTAAAATATCTTCAATAATCAAAGACACAAGCGAAAGAGTATACTCTTTTAAACATACTTTGCTACATTCTAGCAGATGCTATTCATAACTTATGTTTAGCCAGTGTTTCTGCATCCTCTACGATGAGGTATCCACTGAAGGTCTAAGAATACAGTTGCCTCACATCTTTCACATCCTCATTAATTATGTGTATTCTTTTCAAATGTTGCAATAGGTTTTCCTGAGGACCTGGCTTTCCAGGTACTCCATGTCTAGGTTCAATATCCCTGGAAACTCTCTATCAATTGCATGCTCCCAGTTATATATTCTAGAATTGTCCTCCAGGCATATTGTGTTTCCTACAGTTTACGGTTACATAATACCTAATCTTAGGGGCAATATTATGATGGCATGTAGATTATCAAAGAAAACGTCACCATATATTAATAATATGAAGGCAAACGTATATTCATTTATGTTGTACATTTTTATTCATGTTCCAACTAACCTGATTTCACAGTAATTCACTAAGAAACTACAATACACAGAAGCAACTACGGCTATAACTGGTAGAAGTGGCAACTGCTTTTGGTTTGAAGATTTTGGGTTTTTGTTTTTGTTCCCTTTAGAATATTTTAGGCCGGGCGCGGTGGCTCACGCCTGTAATCCCAGCACTTAGGGAGGCCGAGGCGGGTGGATCACAAGGGACAGAGATCGAGAACACGCTGAAACCTCATCTCTACTAAAAATACAAAAAATTAGCCAGGTGTGGTGGTGGGCGCCTGTAGTCCCAGCTACTTGGGAGGCTGAGGCAGGAGAATGGCGTGAACCCGGGAGGCAGAGGTTGCAGTGACCAGAGATTGCGCCACTGCACTCCAGCCTGGGCGACAGAGCAAGACTCCGTCTCAAAAAAAAAAAAAAAAAAAACAAAAAACAAAAAACGAGTATTTTAATATATTTTACTTTCAGTGTTCATATACACATCAGGGACATTTTCATATATATGTTATTAAACCTAATGCACACAGCTTCAGATGTTTTACATTTAAAGATATTCTGACAGTTCCTTGATTTACATTTTTTGGAAATGTCATATTTAAAGGCTGTAAACCAAATTTTAAAATATTCCGCTACCATTTTAATGGCCAAAAAAGAAGCCAAGAGTCCAATACACAGGAGGTGTTCTCTCGGTAAGCAAATGTTTCTCTAATTGAATCAAAAGTAGACTTACAGTCACAACATACATGGTGATAAATAATGACAATGGCCTATTTGAGCCCCAAAAAATATTCAGCAATGTCAGAAAAAATGCCATATAAATTAATGGGCAATGGAACTGTGGTAGAGTTAGAGGCTATTCCCCTTGCATGTCTAGTTATCCTGTGGCAGCTGGACCACACAGTTAGAGATAATCTGGAGGGTAGAAGAGATCACAAATGGGTTGTTTTTCTCTCCATTCCCAGGAATTTGCAGATTACTAAGAACTATGGTGTTTGGAGTGGTCAGATTAAGTAAATGGGTTCCAAGTTCATCTGTAGAGCAGTCACGGGCCTCATCCTGGCCTCTGAAACAAAAGCTCCAGGGGTAGATCCCAGGAGATGCTGGTGATAAGCCAGATTTGGACATCACTGCCCAGCGTGCCCAGTAAAAAGCAAGGACTGGGAGCATCTAGATTAATCCACTAATTCTCCTCAAAAGAGCAGAAAAATCAAAATTCCCAGATTCCTTTTTTTTTTCCCTTCAATTCACTGGCAAATCTCATTACTGTTGCAGAGAAAGAGGAACATTGTAACATTTAAGTAGGAAAGTAGGGCTAAGGTGCACTGTAACTGTGTTTTATTTCCTTCTAAGTGTGAAGGACTTGGCATAGGCTGAATAGACAATACCCAGGAAAAAAAAAAATAGTTTCTTGTGTATTAATAAACCTGAAGCTTTTTTTTAAACCATATTTAGACTATAAACCACCAAAAGGCAAAGGTCATGTCAATTTAACTTGTTCTAACAACTCTGGCTACAGCCCCATAAAATGAGGATGCCTAAAATACAGTGGGTGTGTGTATGTCACATACCCACTTTTGTTTGAAGAGCAGCAGCCTGGCAATCAAGAGATCCCAGATCTTGGATCTGCCCTCTGTTGGATGCAGCTCTGCATCTGTGGATAACTCGCTTACCCTCTCTGGGCCCCTATTTTCTCTTCTATAAAATGGGGAGTTAAAAGCTAAAACAAGAAACAAACTCCCCTGCCTGACTCACAAGATGGTAATTACAATAAAATAACATGAGTTAAAGTGCACTGAAAATTATAAAGTCCTGTATAAACATATGTTGGCATTAATGAATTGTAAGTCAACATAAAAGAGGTAAGCATTACATTTTTTAGGATGTTTTTAAGGGAAAGTTGCCTTTACTTAAAGAAGCAAAAACTTGGATCTTCTAAAATGTCACCTGCTAACACGGCAAGTCATCTGACATAGTCCAAAAGACCCTAGGATAGGAAATTTGTCCTAGCTTACTGACTGGGGCCACTTATTCTCTTTGAACCTCCATTTTGCCATCTGTAGGAGTGTCCGCAATCAGAGAAGGCATCAGGGACCACCCACCCTCTGCTACAAATGATCCCAGAGAGCCTCTGCACTTAAAAATATTTGGCACCTTTATTCTTCACTAGACTGTAAGTTCCACAGATAACACGGTGCCTGGCAGATGGTAGAGGCTCACAGATAAGGAAAGAAGAAAAGGAGGGAAGGAGGGAATGAAGCTGGAAGGGATGAAAGGTCACTGTGCCGTGGCCAGTGGGCAGTGCCAGCTTTCTTTGCAGGTTGACCTTGTGCTCTCAGACCCTTCCCCAGCATTCTGCCAACCCCCAACATATGGAAAAGTGAGCGCCCATACTCTTGGTACCCTGGATATCCAGGAAGACTAGCCCAAGAGATGTTCTAGACACCTGATAATGGCACAGAGAAGAGCCTCAATAGCTGAAACCCTCAACCAAATCTTGTGGAATCCACTACAGTCCCAGAGACTTACTGATAATCTCCATGGCCCCTTGCAGTTCTGACATTCTAGATCAAAATGATGCCCCAAAACTTTGGAGATTAATAATGATAGCTTTGATTACTGTCATTTTAAAAACACACTAAGGCTTCAAAACTGGAAATAAAGTCAACATTGAATTGGTTGATTGATTTTTCTGCCATTAAAGTTCTACTTTTCTTTAAAAAAAAATGGCAAGCATCCAGCTTTTTGTTTCTCAGGAAGGGCTCATTTTTAAAATTTCAAAGTATAGTAAACAACTTCTAAATTCAGGATAATTGAAGGTCTGCCAGTTGGTGAGCAAAACAACAATGGCTTTCAGATCAACCGAAAAAAAAATATGGCTCAATCAGGTTTTTTTAAACTGAATATCATCCAGCCGACTGCACTTCTTCCTAAAATAACAAAAGCTGCTGCCTACTGACTACTAATGGACTTCTCTATCTAAATAAATATAATTGTATTCATTAGTTCTTTATGTTAAAATTATTAAAGAGTAACTTTCCCCAGGACACTTTTATGTTAATGAAAGACAATAACACAATCATTAGGACACGATACTCTCAGATCAATTTTGCATTTGCATAGTACCCAATAGAATAGTTTATATACCTGCACAAATAAGTAATCCCCTCTTCTTAAAGATGTATTTGTATATGACCAATGAAGCCCATAGCATAAACCACATAAATAAATAAATTTAATTTGCTCAGGAAGAGTGATGCTGAAAATTGGGAGCAAGATACAAAAATCTCAAAATTATCTGATTATAAATACTAATAAATACCCTAGGAATCACTGATATATGAAGACCCTCCACATGTCGACAAGATTTACTTTTATTCAGAGCTTTAAGATATAAAACCCGGTAAGAAAGATAAGAAGATGGCAAGAACTGTATGAGAGCTAATACTGTAGATTTCTATTACATTCTATTAGAAAAAAGGCTGTGGGCCAGGCTCTGTGGCTCATGCCTGTAATCCCAACACTTTGGGAGGCTGAGGTGGGAGAATTGCTTGAGCCCAGGAGTTGGAAACCAGGCTGGACAACATAAAGAGAAGCCCTGTCTCTGCAAAAATAAAAATAAAAATAAAAAGCCAGGCGTGGTGGCACGTACCTGCAGTCCCAGCTACTCAGGGGGCTGACAGAGTGAGACCCTGCCTCTAAAATAAGTAAATAAATAAATAAATATAGACAAAAGCCTGCAAAGGGGTCCCAAGAGCTAATCTGTCATATGGATTTTTTTTAATTCAACCATCCTTAAAATAACTTAAGTGGTGTTTCATTTTGATTCTAATATATCACCATCAACTTCCCACCTCTAAAAGGAAGGAAAATCACAAATCAAAATATATTTAGTCACTCAGGCCACTAACTTAAATGAGAAAAAAAAAGATCCATTTAATCTCATTTCATGTTGTTTTATTTTGTTTTGCTTTCATTATTAACATACACATTCTATAATACATGGGGAGAAAAGCATGAAAATATTCACTAGGATAAGACTGATTTCCTTCATGTCTAATTTTCTTTTTTTTTTTGAGACGGAGTCTCACTCTGTCGCCATGTCTAATTTTCTGAATACAGATGAGCCTTTGGATACTGATGACACCTTAGTGGGCCCCAGTTTACCTCTACTCATTTTTAATTGGTTCAATCGTGTTTTATCATAAACACCTTATAATAATCCATCAAGAAATTGGGCATTTAAGTTTATCATGGTATTATTATGTTGCTACACTAGAAGAAAGTAGTTGACCAAGTTACCCAATATTACATTAAAATTAATTTGTACCAGAAATAAAGGGCAAGTCATTAATTTTTAAATTCTGATAACAGTTTCCAGTATGAGTCAAGGTAAGTTAAATTTTTGTTAAGTTAAAATGCCCATGAACATTTCTTTATCAGTTTGTGGTTCTTGCACACTTGGACACATCTCAAAACTGGTCATAATCAACCAGAAACCACCTCATTCATCTAAGCTAGCCTGGTGTCTGACACTTAGTAGACACTCAAAAAAAAATGCTTGTATAATAATATTGAAACATGATGTTCTAAGAACTGTAAGAGTCCAAAAATGATTATAAATTTCTTCCCCAATCACATCTATGTGACAGATAATTTTAGCTTTAACTGATTTGTACTTTGCCAAATAAAATTAAGAAATAGGAAACAAAAGCTTTGCAATTCTTGCCCTTGCTATCAAATTACTTGAAGACACAAAATACTGGGTTGGGGTAGTATATTCAATAATGCTTCTAATAAATCAGAATAAGGCCTTTAAAAATAAATATTTTATTCATCCATAAACCACTTAATGGGAAGCAAACCCACGTAAAAGACTTTCGTATGTATTTTGGGTGTAGCTACTTCTCTCTCTGGTCTGTCCATGATGATGCAGAATGTCAACTGTTAAATGTGTTTCTTACTCCTCCATGGGCAAGAAATAATTTGGGTTACAAAATGACTTCACATGAAACACTGCTCGTGCTAAAGCTCCAGTGATTTTCAATATGGGCTAAATTAGGCAACTGACAAAGCTGACTTTACTTTGTATAAGTCTTTAGGCACCCAAATCTGCAGATAGGGCCCAATTTGTCTTTTTGAACTTCCAGTTGCTGCTTAGTTCATACAAACCTCTAATTCTTTTCCCACAAAATACAATCATTGGTACCAAAATATTTTCTTAAAAATGTATTCTAATAGAGTCATAAGAGATGCTTGATAGTTCCATATTTATTGTCTCCATTATCTTTTTGGAAGATAATTAATGCTTCACCCAGGGGCACTCAAAATGGCTATTGGAATTATCCAAAAATTCAATTGCCCAGAGTGGATATCCTTATATAAACATTCATTCTGGATAATTTAAGATACTTGTTATTACAAGTGTAAGGCCTACAGATGTGTTTACAAAAATGAGAATAACATTTTGCATTTGGAATGTAGAAGAAAATGACCTCTCAAAGTAGCTTCGGTATAAAAGGAGGTCACGGTCCCACTGGTCTCTAAAAACCACGATGTCCTCAGAGAGGAGCCAAGTGAGGATGGAGGAAATCATAAATGCTGAGGGTAGTCTGCCTCAGGTACACACTGAGAAACTGCTTTAATGTAACCTGACCCACGGTTATTAGTGAAAATATCACTTTTGTTGTTACCTTATTCCCAACAAATTCATTTCTGCTTTAATGGAAAAGATCCGGGTTCACACTAATCAGGCCCAACGGAAGGCCATATTAGCAATTTGGCAGGTACCCGAGGGCCATACCTAATCTGCATAAAATGAAGCAGATTGCAACCGCCCTCATCTTTTTTATTTTTAAACTGGTTTTTGAAGCAGAGCATAAAATCTCAGAGGGAGAGACAGAAGATGCTAGTGCATACATTTTCCTTCATGCCTTTATTTTCATTCTTTTTGCACAAACCATCTTCCTGAATGGCTGTTTACCTAAAGAAGAATAACAAAATAAAAGGTGCTAGGAAATGGAGTAGGCAGAGATCACAAATGTTTAATTAAAAAAAAAAAAAGTCATGTACTTTCATAGATATTCACAATCCTCTCTAGTATACTTTCAAATCAGTTTTAATTTCAGTTTAGTGTTTTTATGTTTTGTGAAGATACGCTACACAGAAATATACCTTGAATTTCGGAAAAGGCTGCAGCTAGCAGAGACTCCAAATCTAATAATTATTGTTAAATCTATGATATGCCTAATAGAGAAAAATAGTATATTAAATATCACCATTATCATCTCAACACTGGCTTCTGCTATTCACAGAATAATTTAAAGTGACAGTGCTCTTTATATCCAAAGAATTTATAATCAAAGTCATTCAGTTCAAGTATGAGTGAATCTGAAAAATAACTCAACAATAATGAATAGTAACTAATATAAGCCACACAAAATTTGGGAAAAAAGAATAAACACACAAAGCTAAGTGTATCAGATAATTTTTTAAAATAGACTTACTATAGGTCTAGAAGTCCCAAAGGAAACCATGATGGAAGAATTTGGCTTTTTTTGCTTTAGAAAGATATATGAAAGATGGCTGGGCGCGATGGCTCACGCCTGTAATCCCAGTACTTTGGGAGGCCGAGGTGGGCATTTCACTTGAGGTCAGGAGTTCCAGACCAGCCTGGCCAATATAGTGAAACCCTATTACTACTAAAAATACGGAAATAAGCCAGGCATGGTGGCGTGCTGCTGGATTTCCAGCTACTCCGGAGGCTGAGGTGGGAGGATCCCTTAAATCCAGGAGGCAGGGTTTGCTGCTCTCCAGCCTAGGCGACAAAGAGAGACTGTCTCAAAAACAAACAAACAAACAAAACAGAAAGATATTTGAAAGACAGTAGTTTAGCAGAGTGCTATGGGACAAAAGAATGTTACAAGTGAAATGGTTCCACCTTAAAGAAGTTATATTTTAAGTACATTTCATTTACCTTGTCAGGATGTTAGAATTAACAACAAGAAATAAAGAGTGACTAGTGGTTTGTGGGAAGAGGGTAAGAGGATCCTGAAGTTGCTTCTCAGGGCAATGAGAAGCCAATGTAGACTATTAACACATGATTAAGAAATACTAATCTATCAATAAAAAAACAGACACATGTTTTCCAGACTAGAGAATCTGGGTCATAGGGAACTGCTGAATAACCTGGGCCACACAGGAACGAAAGACTACTGCAGTAGAAAGAAAAAACAAAAAGAGGATGAGCACTGGTAACCTTGGAGAAAACAACAGAATCTGCAGATGGGCAAAACAGAAAAGCAGGTAGCAGAATACATACCCCCAAAATATGCTCTTTCTCATATTGATTATTTTGAGTTGAAGACAATTGAAAAGCAGATACAGATGCACACGTTAATAAACTTCTATTTGTTTTCCTCTTGTTAATCTGTCTTTTGTCATTCAATTTATAGGGTCCTGGGTGGAGAATAGCTCTAGGGGGCAGAAGAAAACATTAAGTTTTTCCTCCCCTACAGTATAAAGTTTTGAATTAGAATCAGATGACCAAGTCACCCACACTCAGTGCCTCTCGATCTCCTTATCTGTAAACAAGATGATGATGGCCTCCACCTCAAAGGGTTTTTGAGGACATTAAATTAGGTAATATGAATTTGGGTTCTCTATAAGTTTTAAACATTTAACCAAATGTAAACTACTATTATTGTTGATGTTACAAAGAGTAAACACAATAATAAAGAGCTAAAATGACTGATTTCTTATTTAGAATCTTAGAAGATTCACCAGGTTTGACAAGTGTGGAAATAAAAAAATAAAGACTCACAGAATGAAGACTACTATTTTTTCTAACAGTGGGTAAGAGAGTAACTCCTACGAGCTAAGTAAATCTTCTAATAAACTGAATTTGAAGTGGTGCTGAACAGCCAATCTTTGAACTTCTAAAGATAAAGATACAGGTAAGATTTAGGCTGGGCACAGTAGCTCATGCCTGTAATCCCAGCACTTTGGGAGGCCAAGGTGGGCAGGTCGCTTAAGCTCACAAGGTCAAGACCAGCCTGAGCAACATGACAAAATCCCATCTCTACAAAAAAATATAAACACTAGCCAGGAATGGTGGTGTGTACCTATAGTCCCATCTACTCGGGAGGCTGAGGTGGGAGGGTGGCCTGAGCCCGGGAGGCAGAGGTTGCAGTGGGCCAAGATCCTGCCACTGCACTCCAGCCTGGGTGACAGAGCCAGACCTTGTCTCAGAAAAATAAAATTTAATTTAATTTAATTTAAAAGATTTTACAAAGTAGAAGAAATTCATGTTTGATCAGGTAAAGACATAGAACTATGAATTCTTGGGAGTGAAAGCCATTTTGTAATTTCCTAGTGTGGAGAGAAGTGCTTTCCAAGTGACTGCAAAGACCCTGCATTTGTAAGTTCTTGCTGCATGCCAGACCCTTTATCATTGTATTAATTTTCACAAAAATCCTACAATATATGTATTAGTCTGTCCTCACATTGCTACAAAGAAATACCTGAGACTGGGTAATCTATAAAGAAAAAAGTTTCATTGGCTCACGGTTCCACAGACTGTACAGGAAGAAGCATGTTGCTGGCATCTGCTCAGCTTCTGGGAAAGCCTCAGGAAACTTACATTCATGGGGACGGCAAAGGAGGAGCGAGGCAGCTCACATGATGGGAGCAGGAGCAAGAGAAGCGGAGAGGTGCCACACACTTTCAAACAACCAGATCTCACGGTAACTCACTCACTCACTCACTATTGAGAGAACAGAAGTTGGAAATCCACCCCAAGATCCAATCACCCCCTACCAGGCCCCACCTCCAACATTGGGGATTATATCTCCATGTGAGATTTGGGCAGGGACAACACTGAAACTACATCAATATAAATATTAATGTCTCCATTTTAGGTTAGAATAGATGACTTGCCTAAGGTTACAAGGATGTTAAATGGCAGACACTGGGATCCAAGTCTGCCTGACTCCAAAACTCATATTATCTTCCTCAGAACAAGGTACTTCTTATCCTCTGGAGAATGCTGCTTAGCCTTTGAGACCCAACTCAAACAGTACTTCCAGAGGGAATAGCACTTTTCCTATTCCCTCCAAGAGAATTAATCGCACCACACTTTGTATTTACTCATGAGGTGAAAAACTATACAATTCATGTGAAACCTCCTTTCCCCATTAAAATGCAGGCTACTCAATAGAGCTCCATCTTAGACCTCCTTGTTGCTCTAGCACTGAACTTAGCACCTGGCATAAAACAGATATCCAATAAATATTTGGCAAATGAATACCTAGAATTTAAAGACTCCAAATTGCCACCAAGTAATATGATACCAATTCTTTTATGCTGTTATTTTTATTAGCCATGTGTATTTATTGAGGGCCAACTATGAGCCAGGTGGAGTTGCACTAGGTGTTGTGCCATCAACACATTTATACATTATGCCATTTAATCTTCACATTATTCCTTTAAAGTAAGATCCCCATTTTAGAGATGAAGCAAAAACCAGAAGCAAAAAAATGATGAAACTATTTGCTATTTGCACTTACGTAATAATGGTAAGACAATGATTATAATATCATGAATGAAGAGTCTATTTGTGGCAAATACAGAGCTAAGATTTAACATCCTTTAATTTTCACAACAAACCAATGAGGTAGGTGTTATCATGACATTTTGCAGATGAGAACACCAGGGGACAGTTTTTCGAGATTACACAGCTAACAGGCACCGTAACTATTTAAATTCATATTTTTGACTCCAAAGCCCACATTCTTTCCACTATACCAAGATCTCTTCTATATTATGCTGCTTAAGTCTGTCTTAAATACCTGAGAAATCTCCAATTGATTATTTAACCTACATTGGTTATATTTTACAAATGAGTCGGTAAGAATTAAAAATAACAGGTGTGGTAGGCAAAAGGAGGTCCAGGGATGTAGGCCTGACTCAACTAATTCAATCAGGTGTATTTTGTTGGACCCAAAATACCATATATATCTTTTGAACATAAAAAGCTGTGCCATGCTAATATTCTCTATCACTAAACTTTCTCATTCATTCATTCAATATTTCTGGAGTGTTTACCCAGGCTAGACATACAGGATGGTGAACAAGATCGACATGGTAACTATACTCATGAAACTTAGGTCTACTTAGTCTCACCAATAAGAAAATATATAATTAAAAATTTAACAAGTGCTAGGAATGAAAATAATAGGATGAGGCTGGGAACGGTGGCTCACACCTGTAATACCAGCACTTTGGGAGGCCAAGGCAGGCGGACTACGAGGTCAGGAATTCAAGACCAGCCTGGCCAACATGGTGAAACCCAGTGTCTACTAAAATACAAAAAAAAAAAGATTAGCCAGGCGTGGTGGTGCGTGCCTGTACTCCCAGCTACTAGGGAGCCTGAGGCAGGAGAATTGCTTGAACCCGGGAGGCGGAGGTTGCAGTGAGCTGAGACGGCACCACTGCACTCCGAGCAAGACTCTGTCTCAAAAAAAAAAACAAAAAGAAAGAAAGAAAATAATAGGATGTTATGAGAAAGAATAATCAGGTAGTCAGGGAAAATGGCCCAAGGGATTAAAAAATAATAAAATAACCTGCCTTGCTAAGAGTGGTAAAAAGAGGGTGCTAGGCAGAAATATGGGGGAAAAAAATGTGTGATGGTCATAAAACCAGGAAGTCTGGGCAGGGCTGAGAAATTCAAAGAGGCTGGCAGTAAGCTTGGAGAGTAAGTGTTGCAGATGCAGATCAGAAGAGATTAGGAAGAGCTTTGCAGATCACCGCAAGTATTTGTATTTCACTCTAAATTAAACAGAAAACCCAGGAAGGGTTTTAGGCAGATAAATGGCATTATTTAGTTTCTGTATTTAAGTCATCATTTAGGTTACTGGGGGAGGCTGCCCTGAAGTGGATCAGAAGTAAAAGGCAGAGATACCAGCTAGGAAGCTGTTGCAGTGAGCCAGGTGAGAAGAGAGGGCCACCTGGACCAGGTAGAAGCAGTACAGGTGAAAAAAATCAGACACTTCCAAATCTTCCTCAAGATTTGATACATTATTGGCTGGGCACGGTGGCTCACACCCGTAATCCCAGCACTTTGGGAGGCCGAGGCGGGTGGATCATGAGGTCAAGAGATTGAGACCATCCTGGCCAACATGGTGAAACCCCGTCTCTACTAAAAATACAAAAATTAGCCAGGCGTAGTGGTGCGCACCTGTAGTCCCAGCTACTCAGGACACTGAGGCAGGAGAATCACTTGAACCCGGAAGGTGGAGGTTGCAGTGAGCTGAGATCACGCCACTGCACTCCAGCCTGGGTGACAGAGCGAGACTCCATCTCAAAAAAAAAGATTTGATACATTATCTAGCCAGGCATGGTGGCAGGTACCTGTAGTCTCAGCTACCCGAAAGGCTGAGGCAGGAGAATCGCTGAACCCAGGAGGTGGAGGTTGCAGTGAGCTGAGATCGAGATCGTAGCACTGCACTCCAGCCTAGGCGAGAGAGCAAGACTCCGTTTCAAAACAAAATAAAATATTTGATCCATTATCACTGAGATCCTTGGCATTAAAAAATCAATTGCATTGAAGGGAACATGAAAGTTTCAAAGGTACTAATAATGTTCTCTTTCCTAAGCAGAGTGGTAGGTACAAAGGTTTTTGTTTTATTATTCTTTAATACTAAACATATACATTATACATTACTTACATTCTTTTGTAAGCAGAACATATTTCATAATAAGACATTTAAAAATATCAATGCTATGGGTTTTAAATGACGAATATCTTAGAACACTCAGATCTAACAGTCTTGTCATTTCAGGCAGGCTTTATAAATCCCTCAGTTTGACCTTTCAATCAGGACAATGAAGCTCTTCACCAGCTCAAATTCTAATGAAACAGGTATATTCTAAGTCCAGGTTAACTGTAATAACAAGAAAACTAAGTTAAACTTAAAATCTGAAATTTGACAGTGTTAACACCTTAAATGTCAGTGAAGATCAATCATGAATTTGTCAACCAGGCATAGAATGCAGACTTTTAAAATTATTGTCTATTATCCTAGTTAATGAATCAAAAACATAGAATGACACCCACAAATGTTTATTAAAGAGTTATTGATAATATTTTTAAAATTCTAAACAACCTGTGTAAAACCAACAGAATGGTTCTGTAAATTATGTTATACTCACACAATCAGCCATTACAAAAGGATTAAAAATTAATGCCATGACAAAATGATTAATATTGTAATATTAAGTGAAAAACTTATTGTATTGTATAATATTGTATATTGTTGTATAATATTGTATAATATTGTAATATTAAGTGAAAAACTAAGATATATAGATAGCCAATTGCCTATAAGGAAAGAAAGAAAAGAGACTATGAGGGGCATAAAGCAGATTTTAACTTTATCAGCAAAATTTTCAAGGTAAGAAATATCTTGGGTCACAGGTAACACCAAGGGGGAATTTTATTTTATCCTTCACATCATTTTGTATTTTTTATATTTCCTACAATGGGTGTGTTTATTACTTTTAAATCGCTGCTCTTTCCTTGCAAATAAAGCAAAGCAACCTACATGCAAAAAGGAAGCTATTTGCATTCAGAAATCTCAGTTTTTTAAATAAATTCTTGACTATTTTCGGATGAGAAACCCTCCAATTTAGAAATCTTTATATAGAAACATGAACAGTTATAATGTTGCCTAAAAGGATATTAAGCAAGAAAGCCTTGATATTCAAAGTGGCTGGATTGGAACACCAACAAATTAAATCAATCTGGTCGGTTAGCAAAAATTAAGTCCTCTTCTATTCAACCATCTATTTAGCAAACATCTACACAGTGCCTTCTGGGATGGCAGGATATCAACCTGACAAGGAGGACACAGAGAATCAGAAGTCAATCTGTCAATAAGGTGTTTATTATTCCTGGCTGGAGAAAGAGTAGGTAATGCAAAGACACCAGGAACAAATGAGCAAGTAAATAATCCACATGCAGATGCCAAAGAAGGGCAAAGCAAGAGGAAAGGCCTCTAAACGCTGTACGGAGGAACTTCACTGGATGAGGAAGACTCTCAGATACCCAAGATGACTGCCAAAGGGGACATGTAGCCAATGTCTCCTCAGTGAAAGCAGTGGTAACATCACGTCAAGAAAAGAGGCAAGGCCTTTCACATGAAAGCAGCCATCATGGCGGCCAGCACTCCTGACTCCCGATGTGGACCTACTCGCTCTCATTTAGCTTAAGTTCTCTCTGTAGAGTGCCTAATGAATGATTATTATGTTAACAGATAGAAGAAAAAACATAAGTGGCACCTCTAATTGATATAACCAATAACTCTCAGTTAATGATTACTTACTGTAATTAAAATAGTGCACATTATTTAAAAGTTTTAACATACCACGGGGAAGAACAATACAAGATATAAAATGGCACAGTATAATTCTGAGTGCAACCATGCAAAAAAAAGCATCATTTAAATCAGAGATTATTCATTTACCATATATTCTTAGCATAAGGAAAGTATATTCATTTAAAAAGTATGAACCCTATGAGTATTGCTTTAATGTTATGTGTCTTTTTAGAAGCCAAAAATAAACAACGTTTATAAAAACATTGTTTTAAACCAAAGGCTGTTAAAAAAAGAAAAAAATCACACAGATCACAAATAAGTAACAATTTTTTAAAAGCAATTCAACATTTTAAATTTTTGCCTCCAAAGTATTATATCACATTGATCAGAATACCAGACTACCCTTTTTATTTTCCTTTCTGGTTATGCCCTTAAAAACACTGTGATGCTTCTAAGAGCTTTAAACTTGTAAATAACCCCTCCCAGAAGCGCAAATCTCCATATCTTAATATCATGAAAGCTGGAACTGTAAAATAAAATCTGTTAGCAGCTGAAATCTTAATGAGGTTCTACAAAGAAGAGGCTTTTCTGCAATGACTCAATGCATGGAAACAGTTGAGTAATTATAAATGCATGGGCTGAATGTGAGTTGGCAAATATAATACCACAGAATGTACCCAGAACTAGGGTTGTCCCAGTTCAAATGAGACTATATTCCTTTACCAGTACAGGCAAACAACTAACCTGAAATGTCTTTGGCTAAGAGATAGGTGTGAGCCCATAAAATTATGTCCCTTGACTCCTCATTTACATGGTGACAATCTGTTCTGGCCCACCAGCAGCCTGTTCAACAACAAAGCACTTCAGAAAGAGCTCTGCATAATATTGGTTTCATCAGACATAATAGAAGCCAATGACAAATGGACTTAAGTGGTGGTTCTCAAAACTTGGGGACATGAGACTCCCCCATAAAGAACTTGAGAAAAATGAAGATTCTGGGATCTACCACCAGGGGACCCAATTCACTAGGTTTATATGAGCCCAGGAATCTGCACTTAAATAAGCACCCTCCAGCCAAGCAGGCTGACCCAGGGAAATACAAGACTAGGGTGTGTGCCCTGGAGGGAAATAGAGAAAGGCTGGAGGGCAAATGCAAATGATGGGTGGAGAAAAGGAGCTGCATTTTTTGGGAGGGTGTATGGGGAGTACTCCACCACTATCACTTTTTCAGGGAAAAGGAAAGCAGTTTCCTCAAAAGTGTTCTCTGAACCTTCACACATATAACTGTAAACTTAGAACATGTCCTAGAAATATTTCAGTACAATTATTCATGGTAAAGAAATCAAACTCCACATGCTTATTTCTGGTTATACATAGTTTTTTAAAAGAAAAAAAAAAGAAATAAAAAAGCTTCAGGGCCAAACTCTCTCAAATCCATTCTTATTTAGAAATTCCAAAAATTTAGGAATGCTTGATTATATGAATATTGCATGGGTCAAGGTAAGTGGAGTGGGTCTTCATTCAGTCCATGGGTTCTAGACTCACAGATTCAACAACCCTGGATTAAAAATTTTAAGTAAATAATAATAATGCAACAATATAAAATACAAATAAAAATACAGTATAACACTTACATAGCATTTACATTGTATTAGATATTATAAGCAATCTAGAGATGATTATTTAAAGTATACAGGAGGAGGTGAGGAGGTAATAGGCAAACACTATGCCCTTTTATGTAAGATGGACTTGAGCATCCTTGATATGTTGATATTCAAATGAGTCCTGGAACCAATCCCCCTGGACACAAAAGGATGATTCTATTATTATTATTCTCTGCTTACCATAGATAAAAACCAGGCAGAGTCTTTATAATTAACACACCTAAACATGGTAGAAAGTTAAAATGGAAACACTGTGAAACCTTATAGTTTTATAATTTTGTTTCCACAATTTTTATTTTTCCCTAAATCTATTAAATTCCAAGCCCTATATGTTAATATGTTTCATTTTTACAATGTGAGATAAACCACAGTGAAATATCTAACTTTGTGAGAAAGCCCAGTGAAATATCAGCATTTTCCACGGATAATCTATCCCACTGGAAAAACAGGTTTCAACAGAGCCTTCTAAGAGCTGCAGGCTGCCCCCATAGTCATCTGGCTTATAGTACTCATCATGGAAGGCATAATATAATAAATACATTTATGAAGGTGAACTATGCTGGGCTTAAATCAGAAGAATAGACTTTTGAGAGACATGAAGCCACAGGTTTCTCTGAGGTACCAAAGACCACTTCTTCTGAAAGGTACAATAAGGGCATTCTGAGAGGACGTATGTATTTTATAGTTTAGGAAATGACACTGAAAAGCTGAAAAAAAAATGGGTGTAATTCCATGGATGAAATCATGTTAGGGGAGATGATTTAAAAGAGTTGTGAAGCTGTGGAAATATTCGTATGATCACAATTATGAAAAAGAAGATAGGTGGGCATCATCATGAGAAATAATAGTAATAAGAGTAACATTCATTGTGTACAATGTCACTTATCATTAAAATAATATCTCAATTAATCCTTAAAACTGCCTTAAAGTAAGGAGGGTTCTTATCTTATTTTACACATGAAGTATAGAAAAGTTGGCTGGGTGTGGCGGCTCACACCTGTAATCCCAGCATCTTGGGAGGATGAGGTGGGCAGATCACTTGAGGTCAGGAGTTCAGGACCAACCTGGCCAACATGGTGAAACCTCATCTCTACCAAAAATACAAAAAAATTATCAGGAGGCTGAGGTAGGAGAATCACTTGAACCCGGGAGGCAGAGGTTGCAGTGAACTGAAATGGCACCACTGTGCTCCAGCCTGGGTGACAGAGCAAGACTCTTGTCTCCCAAAAAAAAAAAAAAAAAAAAGAGAGAGAAGAAAAGAAAGAAACATAGAAAAGTTAAGTAACTCCCTGAGGTCAGATGCCCTAATAAGAGGTGAGGCCAGGATCTGAAAGTTATCTCATAATCTTAATTAAGACTAGGTAACTATTGTTGAAAATGAAGCAGAGAAACAAGTAGGAATCTCTAAGAATCTTATCAAAGAGGTTACAGCCCAGGAGATCTAAGATAAGTGAAACCTCTAACTTTGACAAAGTTATTAAGTGAAGTCAGGAACTCAATGATGATCTAGAAAAACACAGGACAACTGCTGTGGGAGATGATGTCATGTAAAACTATAAAGAAAGTGGAGGCAAAACTACCCAATTACCCACCTATTTCCATTTTATCTGCTAGACCAAAAGAAGTTTCAAACTGGAAATGCTAGAACAATGGCTAAGAAAGCCCTGGGAGCTAATATAGAAAATAAAATCATAAAAGAACATCTGGATGCAGTAAATGAGTATAAACCTACTGGCCTAGAGATTCACATCCCAGGGTATGGGAGGAATGCATAGAAGCGATATCTGATGGTAAAAATAAATAAATAAATAAAATCATGAACAAACAGAAATTCCAGAACAAGTAATATTTTCACTCAAAGTTCAAAAATTAAAAAGTAAAAAAGTTCAGTCCACAGATGTAATCCCAAACCATGATCCTGTCCTTTTATCAGACTTATAGGAACAGCAAAAATACGTGAGAAAGCCTTTCATGATAACCTTGGACCTGACAGGGTAGTTCCATAGTTTGTGCCTTGTTGAATAACTAATCTTAAAATTAATAGCCTGAAAGGTGGTTTTCAGGGTTACACACTGAGTACTATCGTGGGCCCCGCCTATTCAACATTTTACCAATGATTTGGGTGAAGACGCTTATAAAATCTGTAGATTTTGCAAGGTTAATATAGTTGATAATATGATTTAGATTCAAAAGGATGGGCTATAACACTTGACTATATAAAACGGAATAAGAATGTATTAAATTATTTTTAAAATTATATATGTATACACATAATTTTTGACCTTGCATAAATTTATGTGAAATAGGAAACAAAAACAAGACAAACTATTACATTGAGGTGACTTAATATAAGCCACTATTGTGAACATCTGCTAAAACAAACTAATGCATTTATAGAAAGTCAAGACCACAATGAGGTAATGAGATAAGTTCGTGTCAGAGGGACCATGAGCAACCAGATACAAGGGGGATATACTAGCTTGGTGCAAAAGTAATTGCGATTTTTGCCATTGAAAGGGTAAAAACCGCAATTACTTTTGCAACAACTTAATACAACATGAAAGGAGAGAAAAGAGACCAAATGTATACAAAGACTCCTGTGGTTGTTTAGTCCACAAAAAAAAAAAAAAATAGAGTCTTAGGGAGGGCATGATCTTAGTTTCCAAATATCTGAGTTGTAGAAAAAGAACTATATCAATATACTTTCAAGATGATTTCCTTTATAATCCCTAGAAATAGTAAAACAAGAGCAAATGGTGATGTCTACAGCCTCACCAAAAAGTGAGCTCCTCATCTCTGGAAGTAGCTAAGTGAAGGCTGGATCAAGCTCTACCAGGGAAGTCATGGAGGAGAGCACTGAACATAATGAGGGAGTGGGAAAAGATATATTAATTATGTTTTATGGCTCTACGATAATCCCAACAGCCATCTAGTTTTTCTCTTTTTCACAGACACTCCTATACACTACTCAGCTATGTTATTTTAATGGTGATCTATACTTCAGTAGACGGGAGGGTATGATGATATAAAACAGAAATTAAATAATAATTAGAAAGCTGAATTTAGATCATGTGCAAAGCTCCAACATTTTCTTTTTTCTTTTCTTTTTTTTTTTTTTTTTTTGAGACGGAGTTTCACTCTTGTTGTGCAGGCTAGAGTACAATGGCACCATCTCAGCTCACCACAACCTCCGCCTCCCGGGTTCAAGCAATTCTCCTGCCTCAGCCTTCCTGAGTAGCTGGAATTACAGGCATGTGCCACCACGCCCGGCTAATTTTGTATTTTTAGTAGAGACAGGGTTTCTCCATGTCGGTCAGGCTGGTCCCGAACTCCGGACCTCAGGTGATCCTCCCGCCTTGGCCTCCCAAAGTGCTGGGATTACAGGCGTAAGCCACTGCGCCCGGCCGCAAACCTCCAACATTTTCTAGAGCAATACTTGGCTGTAAGATATTGCATAGTTAATACGACTTCACTGAAGGAATAGCTTTTTCCATGGACAAGATGGTGAATTAACATTTTTATCATGGCTAAAGTATACTGCCTACTTTATATTTTCAACGCCTTACTTTAAAAAAAACCAAGACAAGTTTTTTTTGTTTTTTTTTGTTTTTTTTTGTTTTCTATACCATGGTGTCATAACACCACTTACAACAAATGCCAAGTCTTTCTGAAGGAGGAATCTTTACTTGAAATATGCAAGCACTATTTAGCATTGTTTTGTTTTTAAAGATTGGTCACAGTGTGAATGCCCTTCCTACTGCAGGGGATAATGTTAAGAAATTTAACTTGAAAAGAGTTTCCAGCTCATCTTCACAATGTAATGATACTCCTGCTAAGTCTGGATTTAATTACAAATCAACAAAGAATGAGGAAGGGAGGAAGTTCAACATGGCTCCCCATCACTCCATCACTGCCCCCCACCATCACTGACTTTTTTTCTTTCTTTTGGTCTGTGTACATCACAGCCCAGAGTGATTAATAACCTGTGCAAACAGACTATTCTAGAGATCACAAACTGCCTTTTTCTGTGTGTGTTAGTTTAGTAGTTGAGGCTATTTGAGGGATCTTAAAAGCACTACAGAATAAAACCTTTGTTTAAAGGAATATCGGGCACAGATTCTTCTCTCTGCTCCTCCTCACAGAAACTTAAGCAGAACTCCTTGAACTCTGACCTGAAAGGACGCTTGGGTCAGCCACATCTAATCCTAGACTCTGAGATTAGTTTAATGATATTTGAGGCAGCTGGGATGAACCCAGCTAAATTCTGTGTGCTAAATTCTGTGGCCACATTGTAAAATGAGTCATTGTTCCTCGGGGAGAGTCTTCTTGTCTCAATTGGTATTTGAGTTAAACTGATATTACTGATCACCTATTCCTCAGTACAGATAACTTCACAATTAGAACAGGAGTACATTTGTGCCTCGTTGATCAGAACTCCATATTTTCCAGTATCATCTGCAAACCTTGCTTCTTCGCAAAAAATTGAACAAAGAATGCTGGCAATTAATGTCTTTACCAATCTCCAATCTTGAGGTGAGACCACAACTCTGAAATGTTGCCCTCCCAGCGCACGCTACTATAACTTTATGGAATATTTAGATTGCAGTTCAAGAAGAATGAATGCTCCATTATTTTAACAGTCTGCTCAGGGTGGTCACTCTATTTTTTAATGCAATGTACTACACAGGAATGACATCATAAGGGTATCATAAAAGCAAGTGTTAAAACCTATGATGAATTTTCCTATTATAACTAAGCAGCTAATAGTGTAAAAGTAGATCAAAACATACATTTATGGTCTGGTAAGACATTTACATTCACCTTTGTAAATATAAAAATAAAGTTTTTTTTAAAACCATAAAATTCCCTTCTGCCTCTTACTTGTAAAGCTCCATTAGTGATCACAGACACCTGGAATTTTTTTTTCCTAATTAAAGAAGCCCAAGTAGTAATTGCTAATACATGGCATTTATTAATCTTGGGTAGTTTCTTTCTTATGATAAGGATCTCATTTGGACAATACTACTATGTATCAAATACAAATCACACTGAATCATTTACTCTCCTCTGCCACATACATTCCATTTTCATTCTCTAACAAAGCTTCCTTTGCCACCTGTGACGGGTTCTTTCCAAGTCACTATGTCCAGAAAAAAGAAAAAAAAAAAAAATTCACCTCTTTGTCCTCCCACTCTCACTTAAAACTTAACTCCATCCTTACAAGCAGAATGTACCATCCAGAAACTCGCCAAGTACATCTATGCATGACGATCCCCCTTAACTTTCCTTGCTTATATCTACCTTCAAACAAGAAGTGAAAAAGAGGGAGAGAGTATTACCACTAAATGACTATTGCTCTATTTATTAACATTTTTTCAACGAATACTATTTTAATATGAATACCTACCATGTTCTAGGAACTATGCTATGAACATTGTTTGGATGTCATTTTCTCCTCACAACATTATGAGGGTAGATGTTATTTTTATTTACAGATAAACTGAAGTTCATGGAGGTCAACATACACACCCAATGTCACAAAACAAGCAAGTGACAGAGTCAAGGTATAAATCCCTACTGTGTGACTCCAAAGCTAGTGCTTTCACCACTATAATGGTTATAGTGCAGTCTGGACTGTATGGCAAGTCATAGGTGTGGACAGGACTAGTTCCTAGACTAGAACAACTCACAGAACAGGGAGAAAAGAGATAAGTAAACAGATAAATGATAACCCACTGTGTTAACAACTGTTACAAAGATAAGTGTTATAGGGGCATAAAGAAGAAAGTAACTAATGCTATTTGGTGAACAGTGGGATAAGGGGATGATTCTCCCAGGCTGATAACCTCAATTGTAATTGAATCTTAAGTTTCTCAGGTGAACTGAAGAGGGGGAAGCATTTCAGAAAACGCCTAAGGACAGAGATTCAAGAAAAAATATGGGGCATCTGACAAACTACAGAAAATTCAGCTCTGAAGGAGGGTGGGGAGTGCGAGGAGTCACATGGTTGAAGGGAATGAAAAGGAAGACCAGAGCCTGACTGCCAGGCCCAAAATCTGATGAATAGAAAAGCACTGTTGACTGGGGAGTGTGAAGCTATTTGAAGCAAATGAGAGCTAGATTGTAAGGACACAGTGATGCATACTTGGAAAATATTTAACAAGGAGGATATAAAATATGGTGGTAGCCTCAGTCAGGAAGCAAATACTAAGAATTCCTGGTTTTGTCTGCAGTAGTCCTGACTGAGCACTTCTGTATTACAAACAGAAGAAGCCAATGAAGAGTGAGAAATAGAAGATACAAGAATTCTGGGGACAAATGATGAAGCATAACCCCAAATAAAGCTGAGAGAGTCAGCAATGGAAGGAGCAAGGAGAGAGGCTGCCCTTGGGCAGGGGAAGGAACCCCTCACCACACGCCCCTCCTGAATGCACAGCACACAAAGACTAAAGCGTCTGCTTCAGCATGGCATTACTTTGTCTTCTGTGCTGTTCTTTATTTTTCCTATGTGTCTTTGTCTTCTCTCCCCAACTAGGTAATAAGTCCCCCAAAGGTAGTGGTCATATTTTCTATTTCTTTGTATCTCCCTCCATATTAAAACAATGTGGACACATATGAACCAGTCTTTTATCACAATGATTTGAGAAGGAAATCAGGTAAAAAAAAAACAAAAAACAAAAAACAAACAAACAAAAAAACCTCCCTAATGGGGACAAGTCACAGATGAGAAATAAAAACTGTGTATCTTCACTTTGTAGGGAACAAACTGCCCCAGATGAAACTGTAAAATCCATGGAGAATGTAGCTAACTATTTATCAGGAAAGGAGTGTAATAAGTTGTCACATCATAAATAATCCTGTTAGAGCAGGGGCTTAGGGATGAATCTGTTATCTCTTATTTCTTTTACAGTAAATAAATGCAAGTACTGTTTAGTTGGTAACAGAAAACACCAGTGCCAAGGAATATTACAGAATTTTTTTTAGCTAATATATTTCAAATTAATACATGAAATATGTTTGCTAGTTCTTTGGTTCCTCAAATTAGGAGAAAACATTTTTTAATAAAATGTATATCTTCTCATAATCTATATGTTTATTTTTGTAACTTACTCAGTGTTTAATCTGAAAATAGTACTCCGAAGCACATATGTAATCTTTTCTTAGCATCACAGCTTTTGGCTTACAGGCTTTGAAGTCCCCAATTTTATAGATAAGAAAACTGAGGTTCAAAGAAGTAGCTTCTCTCAACACATGCATGTTTAATAATGATGCCGGAGCTAAAGCCTGGTTTTCCTAACTCAGTGTCCCATATTCTTTCATTAAACAAACCTAAAATGGAGACTGCTCTCTGAGATTATTTTCTCTGAATCTAATCAGGACTCCTTGCTGGCACTGTTAGCTTTCTGCCCCTCTGCTCTCTGCCTTCTCTGATTTCCCATGATAGATTCACAAATAAGCTGTGGCCAACAGTGCTCCTTACCTACCCAATGTCCACTTTTCCTACTAGAGAGTCGCTTTTTTTTTTTTTTTTCTGAGCAGCATTGTGTCAAATAAAAAACTTGATTTCCCAGGCTCTCTAGTCCTGAGACTGAGATAAAGACAAAGTCTTAAGGAAGGCTGTCCATTCCAGAATAATAAAGGCAGAGCTTCACGAGAGGCATTTGGCCTTCTGCTCTTCTTTCCCTACCCTCTTCCTGCCTGGAATCTCAACTGGGTATCTGGAGATCCAGCAGCCATTTTTCAATCTAAGAGATGCCAGAAGATAGCCAGAGCCCAGGTCCCTGGCGGCATTGTGAAGATGCTGCACTGGACACCTACACGAGACAAATAAAACTCCTGTTTGGTTAAGCCGCTGTTGAAGAGTTTCTGCTACATATAGTCACTTGCAATCTTAAATGATTAATACCTAAGCTAACATTTTAATAAGGACTGACATATTCCTAACATGTCACTCCACTGACTCAAACCCTTTCAGTGGTGGTCTCAAGCAGGAGACCACTAAATAAAACATTAACTTTTTAGTTTGGCATCCAAGGTACTTTACAATAGATTCAAGTTCTGATACCTCTTAAACATATCCTGCATACCAGCCAAGCAGAATTCACTGCCAACTGTCTGTCTCACCTTCTCTCTGCCCATCAAAATCTTGCAGTCTTGTCAAGGCCCCTCTCACACATCACCTCCCTCATCCATCTAAACTGATCCTTCCAATCTGATGAGATTTCTCCCTCTTTTGAATTTTCAAAGCAATTTTGTCTTCATGATAGCCACGGTACTTGTGTGCTCTCGTAGGCAAGGGCACCTTCAGGTCAGGGATCTTGTTGTACTGGTACGGGAACTCTCCTCTTTCCCCATCCACCCCCCACCAGGGCAATGCCCAATACACAGCAGATGATTAATAGTCACTTATTAAATTGAATTAATAAATACATACCCCTCTCCTAATGCATCTCTGACTGATCCGGAAAGAGTCCATGCCAGCACTCTAATGACTTAGGAGGGAGCTTGTGTGACAGCAGGAGTGAGCTGAGCTGCAGTTCAAATTGCTGTATTGTTTTGACACCAGAACAAGTGATAATGGGCTGTGACTCGGTGTGTCAAAGCGCTCACTCAAGACTCCGGTGCCAGCCTTTCCTGCTTGTCACGGGCCCCAGTCTGCAAAAGCCTTTCCTTTCGAAGCACCATGTGGCATCTTCTTCAGAAAAGCCTATAGCTGGTCACTCTTCTCCCCAAGGATCACAAACAAAACAACGACTGGGAGCAAGGTCTCACTGGGATCTGACTGCAACACTTGTCCCTCCAGGAATGATCACTGGCACGTGGTAAGAGGGGGTGAATGGGCAGCAGGCTGTGACAGAGAGCCAGGACAAGGCAAAACGGCAGTCTTCCCATAAAGCAAAGGCCACCCCACATGCAGCACTGAAGAAGCATGAAGTTCAGGTTGCAAAACATCGGGGAAAATAAAAGAAGGAAAAGTTTATAGAATGAGTGCAACAGAGAATATGTAATTTAAATACAACCTAAAACACAAAACAACATAAGAATGAGCACCACAATTATGTGCGTATTAAAATATAGGACCTGAAGCAAGAAACGCTCTATCCTTCACAGTACAGACTTATAACACATACTTCACATATGTGTGACTACAAGCCCAAAAGGAAGAAGTTATCTTCAGGAAGAGAATAGTTGTAAGCTTGTTATCTGACCAGTGGCCATGGTCTCAAAGAAATAACCATTCAAAATGACTAAAACAAAGTAACTGTTGTACACAATTAATTGAAATGGAGACCAAGTCATAAATTAGTATAAATCTCCAAGAATAAATTGCTAATCATTAGCCATATAAATCATTTAAAGTGCTATATAGTATTGTTTTAACTTATTAGCTGCTATGTATAATATCATGTTTAAAATTGTATTGCTATAAGAAGAATTTAATACCAATAGTGCATCCTGGATAAAACATAACTGAGTTTACATTAAGATAACATATATGGATATCCAAATTACATTAGAATACTGCAGATGAGCTATTTAATTTGATGGAAAAGTGAATACTTCATTCATCAGAAGTTTGATTAAATAACTAAATCCCTGATTTATCCAATGAGGTTGTGCCTGGTGAGTGACCCGTGGCCCATCACCTCTCTAATGCCTTCCCACAAGGGTCTACTGTGGCCACGCAAAGCTCTACGATTAGAAGCTAGATCTGGGGCACCTGCACTGTGACCCTCCTGGCCCAGCCCTTCTCTTTCCTGGCATGATGCTCCACCCTGCTCTCCAAGACTTCTGCGAGTATCCTCCAGGGCCAGTAACACTCCATGTGAGCTGTCCTTCTCTGTAAGGTTGTCCTCAGCCCCACCAAGCCTGTGTGCCAACTTGTAGCATCATCATTGCCCTCACTGCCACTGCCACTGCCAAGGGCCACAGGGTAGAGAGGTGGCTGTCAAAGGCATAGGCCTCAGCAGGGGTGAGTACAAAGGAAAGGAAAAGTAGAACTACTGGACCCAAGACTCAGCAGAAGTTACATTACATTATTTCGCACAAGGACTATTATATTTCTATTTTAGAGTGTTACAGTTATTTCCATACAGGTGTGGTTCTATTATACCAAAGGAGGTTATTTTGTTTATGATCTAGTGGATTATACTTTGTAGGAAACTGAATGAATTTTAAAAATATACAATTTTGAAAACATTATGTACAAATCTATGAATGGGTAATTATCAAACAGACTATCCACTAATAATTATATTTGACCTTGAGGTACACCACACAATTTTTGATACAGATTTACCTTCGTAATTACACTTTTCTTAGAGTATTATTGGCTTTCAGTTGGTAATTCTAATATTAAAATAAACACACACCAAAAACACAGGAGGACCACACATCTACTAGTTGGCAGGAGAGAGGTCTTCTTCAAATGCTATGTTTACCACAGGTAATTCATGTTTAATTTTCTTTAAGAATAGAATCTGCTCAAAAATCAGGAAGACAGGAGGGGTTTAAATACTAACAAAAGGGAGAGAAACAGTAAAGTAGAAGACTGGAGAGGTGAAGAAAAAGTCAATAAATCAGAATAAATTAAACTACTACTTTTGAATTCCCCTCCATGTCATTTCTTACTGCCTTGTTTACAGGCTAATTTCATTATGCTGGAACACAACTGACTATAACATAACATGGGCCAAGTGCGGTGACTCACACCTGTAATCCCAGCACTTTGGGAGGCTGAAGCAGGCGGATCATGAGGTCAGGAGATCGAGACCATCCTGGCTAACATGGTGAAACCCTATCTCTACTAAAAATACAAAATATTAGCCAGGTATGGTGGCAGGTGCCTGTGGTCCCAGCTACTCCGGAGGCTGAGGCAGGAGAATGGCGTGAACCCGGGAGGCGGAGCTTGCAGTGAGCGGAGATCACGCCACTGCACTCCGGCCTGGGGGACAGAGTGAGACTCCGTCTCTCACACACACACACACACACACACACACACACACACTCACAAAAAAAAATAAATAAAATAACATGACCTGCTGTCTTTAGGTGTGCTGTGCGCTTAAATCATATAAATATCACCATTTACTTTTTTTTTTTAAGCCATGATCATTTAGGCCAGGTAAAAGTGCACCAAAATAATATAATTCGGCATGAAGCTACCTCCTGTGAAATGCTCTAGGAGAGAGGATAAAAAGGAACCATGATTCAAGGGTGACAAGTTCAGTTCTCATTACATTCAAATTTTCCAGCATACAAATACCTACTGACAACGCATCCCCAGAGGAAATCATTTACATCCCTTCTGCTCCACATAGTCCCAGATGTGCTTTGAGGCAGTTCCACAAGTGGAACCACTTGAGAAGAAGAGAAAAGATATGAGCAACTATTTCAGAGGAGGAATGGAAGGGAAAATCATCTGTCTTCTCAACACGACTGTGGGAAGAGTTGGATTAAATAAAATGGCTTCACTGTAGTCAAGCTGCATTTGTACTGAGGTAACTCAATATTTAGAACTTTAAGAAGAAAAACCAAGGAACAGAAAAAAAATTTGTCCCAAGACTATAACTCACTAATTACAAAGCTATCAGTGAATATTTAAAGTTTCATTTGTCATTAGTTAAGGATATTTCATTGTTTAAAATACACAATTTTAACCAGATGATGGGGGTGGAAGTTTTATTATATTGTCAGCCTGTGTAAATATTTAAGTACTCTGAAGAAAAGGGGAAAGAAGCAATGTAGTGCAGAACAACTTATCCACAAAAAAGAAAATAACATTCTTCTAAGTTGATGCAGTCATGGAATAGGATATTGTCAATTTAAAAACATGAATACCAGAAGACCTAGTCTACCTATACCTTAAGAAAATTTAAGATTGGTACTTCACATCCAGTATCTCAGAATAAGGGCTCATATGAATTGAAGCTACAGAAAACAAAAGAAATTGACACACTGTATCTGGCTTCTGCATTGTAAAGTAATAATAACAACAACTGGAATCATAATAGCAACTAACATGATTCAGCCCTTACCCTGTGTCAAGGGCAATGTAAAGCACTTTATTTGGATTGTTTCATTTAATCTTCCTAACAACCCTACAAGGGGGAATTATAATTACTACCCTGATTTCATAGAAGAGGAAACTGAGGCAGAGAATCGCAGAGCTGGGAAGTGGGGAGCACCAAGATGAAAGGCCCGGCAGTCAGAGTCCACAACGCCTAACCACTGCACTATACTACAATGCCCTCAGTCAGAACCAGATTGTAAAAGACACAGAACTAGAGGGCCAACGATCTGTTAAGTGAGCGAAGTCATCGTGATCAATTGCTTATCCACTTCTTAGGGGAAAGAAACTAGTCAATCAATTTGTTCTTCACCATCTACGTTTCACTATATTCAAAATTAAAAGGAAATTATTTTAAAAACTAATATAAAATGTGAAATTTTTTCACATTTTATTAGTTTATTAGTTTTATTTTAAAAACTAATGTAAAATGTGAATTTATTTTCAAATCTTAACGTGGTTTGCTTCTACATCCAAACATTTTTGAACAATTCGATTTGTTTGATTTGGTTTAGTAAATTTTAACTCTTATTAAATAAACACTTTCAGTCAATGTTTTGTTACACGTAATAGAAAATGTACCCAAAAAGAAAGCATTACATAAAGCATCTAATACAAGTCTTAGTTATATAGAATAATGCCCCCTGTGTGTGAGAATTCATCAGGCTGGAATCAGATGCAAAAGAGACTATGATCTGCTGTACGGAGTTCCTTTTTTCCCTCTTTGACCCAAAGATCTGGTCTCCACTCCCATTCCTGCCCACTCATTACAAATCAAATGTCATCGATCCCAAAAGGCATCGAGTGAGTGATTCTGGGCAGCTCAGTGAGAAACCCATCACTGCAGAGCAAAACCAACACGATACAGTGCCACTGGTAATCGACCCACATCAGCTCTCTCCCACACAGACAACCATGCTCTCGTTTTCCCAGAATCACCAGTACTACAAACAGAACTATTTTGGTTCCACACATTTCAAAGCCCTTTTAAAATTCAAGACAAACAAATGACTGTGGCAGCTTAGGGACACAGGTCCTTTGAGAAGTGCTTCAACTCACAACATCCAGATTTTGAGTCTTCACCTTCCACCACCACAGAGGCCTAGAACACACTGTTTTTAGGCCAGTGGGAAGTAAAAAGAATCCTTAGTCAGTTTTACTATGAATATATTACCCTTCAGCAGAAGTCAACACATATCTTCCAGGAAACTATTAAACGCACTAAGAGAGAGAATTTTCTAAATGGCACCCCCAGTGCCCTGAAAATAATCCATTCTCCCCACAGAATAAAACAACTTATTTCTAAGGAGTAAGTTTATGCTAAAGATGGTCAATTAGAAAGATGTACCTGCATTCCATGACTTTAGAAGTTCAACCTTGGCTTTCTTGACAGCATGTTTTTTAAAAATTTTAGCATGGGTTATAAATTACCTCGGGATGTCCATGTGAAAGCAGTGCCGCCTGGGAACGGTTCCTGTCATCTTGTAGCATACTCAGCTGCTCCCTCCGCACAAATGGCACTTGTAATGAAAACACCGCCATATATCTTGATTTGTCAGAGAACAAATCAGTTTTATCTGTTCATTTTGTGGTTTCATGTCATAGGTATTTCAGAAAACATAATTTATAATTCCTCATGCAATTATATATGAAATTAAATCATCTCACTTTTCCAGAAGCATCAAAGTATTTCAGATTAAGTAGAATGCATTTGTAATGTCTTTGAAGTTCTCTTCCTCTCTCCCTTCCTCCCAATCCACCCCCTGAAGAAAAAAATAAATAAAGGAAAAGAGAGAGAAATATTTAGCATTTTAATGAGTTAATCTAGTTATATTAGGTCAGGACTTACAGGGACTTTTATTCGTATTCTTAATGATAACCCACTATTACAATAATGTCTTAATCATGCCCTAGAGAGGCAGAGGGGTGTGGTGGCTAAGCCACTGTCTCAAGAAACAGAATGCCTGGGTTTGAACATTTAGGTCCTGGCTCCATCACTTACTTGCTGTGTACCCTGGGGTATGTCACTTAGCCCATCTGTGCCTCAGTTTCCTCAGCTGTTAAATGAAGATAATTATGCTTATGCCACACGAGGTTTGCGAACATTAAATGATTTAAGATGTGTAACACACTTAGAACAGTGCCTCACACATAGTAAGCTCTATGTTTCCTAGCATTATCATTAGCAACAATACCCATACCACTCCTTTTTTCTTGTTTTTAGGACTAAATGGACATAAGAATCTAGTGAGACTATGTCTTAAGGCATTCCAATAGGAGATGAGAAAAAAACATCCTACTGGTGGGTGCTTGTTTGGATGAAAAATTGGTTATTTTAGGGAACTCCAAGACAATGTGGCCAGCATCCCTTATTGAGTACTAAGTGACACCTCAGTCTCCTGGTAGAATGTGCCACCCCAAATGTTTTAATCCCCTGATTTACAGCAGGGTTGGGCCTATTCCTTTTAATTTACATGGTTAAATTAATATCTGCCAAGAGACTCAGACAAATTCATAATCTTGTCATTAGCCACAACAGGAAATTCCTCCTTAATAAGATGGAAAAGCAACTGATGATCTTAATTGCATTAGTTTGAAGTGCAAATGGGTGCATTTTAATATCTAGTGGGGGTCACATGTAAAAAAGGAACATAGCAAATTATAATGTAATATGTTAAATCGATATCTCATTTGTATACTTATTGTATACTTATTTAATTATGAAACATTGGTTTCATAACTAATATTTCTTTCACATAAATTGATATTTTTGGTTACATGAATATATTTTAATAGATAATTTGAGTTCTATAAATGCTAGCCAATTATATCTATTATGAAAACCCAGGCAAATACTTACTGAAAACAAATACTCCTCTCTATCTTGGGACTACCAACATACTCACATAGGAAGAGAACGATCCCAGTATCTGAGGATAGGCCTCAGTATGAGCCGCATGACTCCAGAAATACACTCAGAAGGGAGACAATCAGAATGGAGCCAATGACACTATTAGAAAAAGTTCAGAGTAGGTACTCAAATAGGTTCCAGGTAGGACCATCTCATACTTGGTATGCTATAAGAAAGACTATGAAAAGAAGCTGGGTCACGTTAGAATTATACAATACAGAAGGGAGACAGAGAGATGCTTATCTCTTTTCCATGCCCAGCAGGACCTGAGGTCCCATAGAAACAAACAAACAAAAAGGATTACAACCCATCACTCCAGCAAATATGGGAGATTTCATGATTTGTTCGACAAATTCCCTACCTCCAATAATGGGCTGTTCTCAAGCAATTCAAACATAGAAAAAAACCTTCCTTCAGAGTTTCCCCCAAAGACTCCTTCATAAAATCTCCATCCTACTGCACACAGCAAAAAACAGAGGCTAACAAATGGACAAACTGTCATCAGTTGTTAATTCCTGGGCAAAGAAACATCTTAACACAGGACTGTCATCGTGAAACTAGTAAGCAGTCAGTAACCAACCCGCACAATACTGCGTGTATGTTTTGTAAAGAGGAAAATGAACAAAATGTGGGTAAGAACAAGACAATTACAAAAACAAAATATGAAATCAATTAGCTAAAGTTTCCTGACACAATGTCTTTATAGCCTTCTTCCACATTAAAAACAAACGCTTAACTCCTTACCACAGACAAAGGTAAGAAAGCAAGCCAAATGAACATTAATGTCAAAAAAGTTTTTGTAAAAAAATCTGGCCTTGCACCTGCAATGAACAATGAAAATAAATTTATTTTCAAAGAACAACTGTATCTGCACATAAATGTTGACGTAAATTACTCTGATTGCCCAGCATGTGCTGGGTATATAGTATCTGCACTTAACACTTCCTAATTTACTGACCATTCCTAAATCCTTCCATTAATAGATAATCAAGAGAAAACTAATGTTTCTCATTTGATTTGAAAATCCAAAGCTTCACGGTTACGTAGTATTAAAATTAATAATATAGACTATGGAAGTTATACATTATAATGTTAAGTAAGAACTAGAAGTGAAAATATTGCATACATCTGACCTCCACTACGTAAAAGTATGCATAGAACTATAACCAAAGGGAAGCAACCCAAATATTACCTATTTTTATCTCTAGAATGGTTGGTTCATGAGGGAATTTTGTCTTCTACTTTTAAAAATTTTTAGTTTTTTTTTTTGTAATTAACAAGTATTATACTTTATAATTAGAAAAAACAAATTTAAACTTTATAAGTTTATAAGGAGCTTATATATACAAATATACAAAAATAGGGTCTAACAAAACAGGCTCTTATAAAATGCCATCCATGATAGCAAGTTCAATTTTGTCATTTAAGCTCAAAACAAGCTCCCCACTCAATTTTAAAATACATATCTTCATTAAGTTATCAATTTGAAAATGTCAACCTTCGGTTTATGCCTGTAAGGTATAATTACTATTCACTTGGATTCTAGACTCAATTGACAGATTAGAAATACAGTGCCACTAAATGGGATATTGGTTAAGTACACATTTTCTGAAGCCAATTTTTGGTGTTGGTCAAGCTATTTGCCTCTCTGAGCCTCAGCCTCTTCATTGGTAAAATATGGACAATAATATTACGTACTTCACAGGGTTATTATGAGCTTGAATGAGTTAGTAAATGTTAAGCCCTAGGACAGTGCCTGGTATATAAGAAGCACTCAATAAATATTAACAAATTTTATTATAGCCATAATATGTCTATTATGTAAAAGCTTCAATTTCCCTCACAAAAGCAAAACCATGACTTAATATAAGCTAATTGTAACAATGTTACATTTATCCTATTCCAAACATGAGTTAGTCCATGTAAGTAAATTTTTCAGATAATTCAGACAGCTGAACCTTAACCTTTTAAGTGTCCAATCATTTTAGTTTTAATCCTCAAAACATATTCAAAACCTGTCATTTTGTTCTGGTTAAGCAGCTTCTTTCCAGAAGTCTATATTTGCCAAAACCCTAGTTCTAGACGAAATGGAGAGAAGAGGATCAAAATAAGCATAATATAATGTTAGGTCCTACCTAACATTTTATTACATATTGAGTTGCTTATTTTCCATCTCCCCTACATATAAGAATGTAAGTATCTTGAGGGCAGAGACATTATGTATTTGGTTCTTTGCTGTGTCTCAACACCTAGAACAACATCTAACACATAATAGACACTTGAAAAATATTTGTTAAATGAGTGAATAAAATATGATGCTAGAGAACCACAGCCTCCAGGTGTGCTCTTTTAAAGTTTCTTAGCTTTCCTTTCTGCAAAGTAAGAGTGGTAAAATTCAACCACCTATCTTTCAATAGTGCTCAAAAGACTAAAGATCTTAATTTTAAAATCTTTAAAGAAAGATATATCAGAAGTGCATGGAAAAATGTATGCATGGAAAGATTTTTTTCATGCACTTCTGATATATCTTTCATTGCAGATTATCTAACATAGGCCCCCTTTAAAGAAGTCTCTTCACCCCCTTAAGGAATCACCGTATTCATAGTAATAAAACAAGACATTTAGAATTGCTATTTATTACCATGGCTCTGGAGCATAGATTCTCAAGAAGAACCACCATTTGAAGTTGGTGAGGCTGGTGAGGGCTTTCAATCAAGAACAGGCTGCCCTCTTAGCTCAGCTCCCATGATGGTAGGCTTTTACCAGGGAGATTATTAGACCTGAGCAGCCAAATCATTGAAGGCCAAGGTTTTAAATGTTCTAGGAGATTTTCAGCATCCTATTCTCTGATTTATAAAACTGACAGAAAGAGTATCTTGGAAGCATCTCTCTGCTGAGCGCAACCTGGAAGCTGAGGGGGACCTCTGCGCTGTCTGATTTGCATATAGCCCACAGCGATCTTTTCCAACTTGAGTAACAAGCTTGTAAAATAGTAGCACAGATTTGCTGTTCTGTCCTGAGTGATATTTCTTCAAACCAAAAAGAGGCAGACAGATAGAGGAAGAACCTTTGTGTTTTCTCTCATTGACATACAAATAATTTTGCCAAATACTGCTTTTGAGCAAGCAAGTGGCACGTGCTCTACAGCCTTGACTTAAGACCCTTTACAGCTCTCAAAGCTGCCATCAAAAGAAACCTGCATTTCAAAGTGCTGGGTTTTAAATGCTCATCACAGTCACGCAAAATCTATCTGGCACCTAGGAAACCAACCTAAGGTGCCCAACTGTGACCAAACAGCCAGCAGAATGCTCACTTTTCACTCCTGCCTCTCAAAACCACCACCGAGCTCTTCTTCTGTCATACTGTAAACAAAGGAAGTCCCCGACAGCTCTGGGTCCCACTTATATGCTAAGCTATTTGAACTAAGTAATAAATAAATTGAACACTTAATACTACAGAAATAAATGAATAGTTATGGAACTGGGATCCCATAGGAATGTAAAAATATAATAACACTGTATCAAAGAAAATCTGGACAAAGTATTAAAATGTAAAATATATACTAACATATGAAGTGAAAGACCTACAATTCTGAAATTTCACAATTTTGCAAATAACTGAAATTATAAGATTCAGATGATGAGAAATCTTTTCCAAAGGAAAAAAAGACAAAATAGGAAGCAGGGAATTTCTTAAAAAGCATTTTAATATTACAAAATGCTCTATGGCCAAGACTTTTTTACTGTCCATTATGAATGCCAAAATAGACTTTACTTAGAGTTGGAAAATAATGGTATAGCATCAAAACTAGGAGTTATATCAATGGACAAGTTTAAATGTAAAGAATATATCAAAAAAGTAACAGCACTATTGAAAAATTTAAGTGCTTTAACGAATGTGTTTTTTACCAAATGAGTTCCTTGAATGAAATCTGTACTACATCTTCTTAAACCACAAACAAACCTAGCTATTCAGCAAACAACTCTATTTTACATTTAAAATCTATAAGTTAGTAAAAGACAGTTATGCTTTAAAGGGGAGCAGAACAAAAAATTAAACATGATATATATCATATCAGAGTACCACAAATTTTAGGCTTGTAGGTTTCACACTTGAAACTCCTAGAAGTTATATATTTTAATGAGACATACCTTAATTATTAAATAAAGGTTGTATATATCTGTAGGTCAGTCTGTTTAACCTGGATCATTTTACGTGAATGTCTCAGATGACCAGTCCCTTCCAGGTCATGGGCATTAATGCCTAAGCTCTGGAGAAGAAGGACTTTAGGCAGTTTAAAAAATATATCAAAGTTAATTGCTACCATGGCCTATCATCCCAAGCAAAACAGATAACTGAAAACACTGCTAAATACTTTCCTCATCATGGAGGAAATAATAAGCTACATTTTTAAATGAATTATTTCCACTGATAGGACTTTTTTTAGTGGGCATTCAAGTAGAAAATTCAAGGTCAGAGGTAAAGTGAGATCGCACATTCATTTCTTGCCCTCAACAGCTTTTACCCCCAAGCACTACCTAGTCAACTGCTAGGTATCCCGAAAATCAAGTTAGAGTCTTCACCCTCTACAAATTAACATATAAACAATATTTCCATCAGCTGACCTTCATGTGAGCCATAATTATATATCTATATATGTTAAATACATATTTATGCCAACATAAACAAATATAAGGAATACAGAACTATAAATATTATATTAGATATTCAATCTTAACTATGTATTGGGATGAGGAAATAAGGTGAGCATTATTTTACCGCTGGCATTTAATTAGTATTTCAGGTTTCACTGTGTGCATATGAACATGCATATGTGCACACACACATATGTATGAATATTTAATTTTATATAGCAGAGGAGGACAAAGCATGGGGTCTGTTGAAGAATTGTGTTCTCCAAATAGTGTTTTACATTGCGGCCTATCCAGCTCTAATGAGGGCTGAGACATGGTTAACAGCAATTTGGGGTAGCATTTTCAGCTCTCTTTAGAGAGCCACAGAATTTTTTAAAAAGCAGCGTGTCTGTTAAAAGTTAGCTCTAAGGCCTAAAATGTCTAAATACGTATATTTTTTCAACATTGCCCTTACAAAGAAAAAACTGCTGAAAGTCTCCCAAACATTTAGTGTTTAAAGAAGAAAAAGTAGAGAAAAGAGAGAGAGTGAAAGGAAGAAATAGAGAAAGCAAGACAAGATTAAACCATTTTAAAAGCTTTCTTCTTTTTTATTTATTTATTTATTTTTGAGATGCAGTCTTGCTCTGTTGCCCAGACTACAGTGCAGTGGCACAATCTCAGCTCACTATAACCTCCTCCTCCCGGGTTCAAGTGATTCTCCTGCCTCAGCCTCCACAGTAGCTGGGATTACAGGTGTGCGCCACTGTGCCTGGCTAATTTTTGTATTTTTAGTAGAGACGGGGTTTGGCCATCTGGTCATGTTGGCCAGGCTGGTCTCAAACTCCTGAGCTCAGGTGCTCCACCCGCCTTGGCCTCCCAAAGTGCTGGGATTACAAGTGTCAGCCACCACGCCTGAACCATTTTAAACATTTTCAATAGGGAAAATGTCAAACTTTCAGAGCATGAAAAACCTTTTGACTCCAGACAACATATATCTTTTAACCATTCTCTCTCAAAAAAAAAAAAAAAAAAAGAAAAGAAAAGAAAAAGAAAGAAAGAAAAAGAAAAAAAGGTGAATTTCTGAATTCCTTTCCAAAATTATGACTGCACTTACTAATTATCTGACTGTCCATCTATTTATTTATTTAGAGACAGAGTCTTTATTTAGAGACATCTATTTATTTAGAGACATCTATCTATTTATTTAGAGACAGAGTCTTTCTCTGTCGCCCAGGATGGAGTGCAGTGGCACTATCACAATCTTGGCTCACTGCAACCTCCACCTCCTGGGTTCAAGTGATTCTCCTGCCTCAGCCTCCCGCATAGCTGGAATTGATTATAGGCACCTGCCACCATGCCTGGCTAATTTTTGTATTTTTAGTAGAGACGGGGTTTTGCCATGTTCACCAGACTGGTCTCAAACCCCTGACCTCAAGGGATCTGCCCACCTCAGCCTCCCAAACTGCTGGGATTACAGGAATGAGTCATCGTGCACAGCCACTAATTGTTTATTTAAAATCATAGTATTTGAAGGAATTTATAGGACTAGGATTTTCATTAAGTTTAGCAAACAAAAATTCTGAATTAAAGCAGCAAACCTAAGTTTCAGAAAAGAATTTTTTTAAGTGTGAAAGAATAGATAACCCATAGATTCAAAAAAAAAATTAAGGGACACATCAACCAAGTGCAATTTATAGATTTGTATGGCTCCTAATTTGAATAAGGCAACACTAAAAAAAAAATTACAAAATGATTAAGAAAATTTGAATCTTTACTGAATGTGAAATTAAAGAATTATCTTTTTTTAGGAGTTATGACAGTATTGTGGTTTATGTTTTCTAAGATAGTCTTTATCTTTTAGAGATATTTATTAAAATATTATGGATAAAATATAATATCTAAGATATACTTTGAAATAATCCAGTGGGGGAGGGGGTGAGAAGTGGGTAGGGAAAGAGACGAGACAGGATTGGCCATGAATTTCTAATTGTTGATCCTAGATGAGGAGTTCATGAATATTTAATACACAAGTCTCTCGAATTTGTATATGTTGCATGTTTCCATAAAAAATGATTTTAGAGAATTTAAGAGCAGAGCATTTCAAACACTGAACAATTTAAACTGAAAGAATATTCATTTCTAACAATAAAATTGTCCTTGAAAGTAGCCTCTATGTAAAGATCTTCCCAATAGTACATTGTAAAGAGATAGTACATTGAAAAATATATAATAAATGAATAATAAAGTGATAATAATAAAGGCATTCATTTTTTATAAAAATATCCTTGGTATTTTGGTTTCAAATCTTTTTTATTTTTGTCATTGTTTCCAGTTCATAGATGGAAATTCTGCTTTCTACATAACAATGCCTTCAAGCAGATGAGGTTCAGATCAACACTGACAAAACATTTGTAAGTTTGATAAGAAACTTCTAGATTAGGAATATGTTCTATTTTTGTATCAGGACTCATTTTGGTCACATAAGCAAGAATTATGTATTTGAAATGCTCAACCTACTATAGGCCCTCTACAAGTATTTAGTTTTAGAAGTTGGCTTCAGTACATGACAATTCCATGAGGTTTGGCTTTTTGTTTGCTTTTAAATTTTAATGAAGTCTGTCTCTGTTACTTCAAAAAAGTATCTATATATTTCATCAAAGAAATGAAATATATAAACATCATTATCAAATATATATAATCAGCATGTATTTAGTAACCACCTAATCCAAAAAGTCCTACCTTTTAGGGCTTATGTCCAAAAGTAAAGAGCAAGTGCTGGCAATCAAACTGTTCACAGGACGGCTGTGTGGTTAAGGACCTTGACTCTAGAGATAGATCAATGGACTTCAGATTTCAGCTCTTCCACCCACTAGCCTGCGCCTCTGGGAAAATTACTCCCCTACCTTTCTTTGCCTCAGTTTCCTCTTCTGTGAAACGGGAAATGTATAACTTACTTCAAAAGTCTGTTATGAGAATTAAATGAGTTAGTACATGTAAATCTCTTAGAATAGTGCTCAACATATAGTAATTGCTCAGTTGTTACCATGCATTATATTAAAGCTCTAAGAATTGCCTGGGTATAGTGGCTCACACCTTTAATCCCACCACTTTGGGAGGCTGAAGCAGGAGAATCACCTGAGGCAACATAAGGATACTTCGTCTCTACAAAAAATAAAGTAAAAATTAGGCTGGGCATGGTGGCATGGCCACCCAGCTACTCAGGAGGCTGAGGCAGGAAGATTGCTTGAACCCAAAAGTTCAAGGCTGCAGTAAGCTATGATTGTGCCAATGCACTGCAGCCTGGGATACACATCAAGACTCTGTCTCAAAAAAAAAAAAAAAAAAGAAAGAAAGAAAGAAAAAAACCAACTCTAAGAAATCCCTTGGTTTATACATTACAGGGGCTCATTAACGATTTATTGATTCTTTTTTTAATCTTCCACTGAAAAAACAGAAATACATCTGTATCATGTATAAATTTTCACATTTGTGGATAAATTAGGGATGAAGTGAACAGCTTATCAAAATTGGGGAATAAGACATAATTATCTTCCCATTTATTCAAAGAATTCATGAAGGAAGTAAAATTTGATATTTACTTTTTTTATTAGAAAAAGAAGAAAATCCCACATAATCCCATCACCTACTCTGCTGATTATTCTAATACATTGCCTTCATCCTTCTTCCATGCATATATGTGGAATTTTATATCACTGAGAATGTACTTGGCACCCTGCTTGATTCACATAACATTTATTAAAGACACCTTTTCTGTGTTTTAGAAACATTATTTAAATGACTGCATGAATGTAATTACTCCAATATAAATAAGAAACAGTGACAATTAATATACCCCTTCTTAAACATATAATTTTGACCTTAAAAAAAATCCAGTCAGAAAGGATTTTTGCTTATTTGCTAAGCACGTTTGTTTTAAAATAAAATTGTCGGCCAGGCACGGAGGCTCACGCCTGTAATCCCAACACTTTGGGAGGCCGAGGTGGGCGGATCACCTGAGGTCAGGAGTTCAAGACCAGCCTGGCCAACATGGTGAAACCCCATCTTTACTAAAAATACAAAAATTAGCCAGGCTTGGTGGCAGGCGCCTGTAATCCCAGCTATTTGGGAGCCTAAGGCAGGAGAATCGCCTGAAACCGGCAGGCAGAGGTTGCAGTGAGCCAAGATCGTGCCCCTGCACTCCAGCCTGGGTGACAGAGCGAGACTCCGTCTCGAAATAAATTAATTAATTAAATTAATCAACAGTCAATTTTAAAATTTATTTTAAAATTAACAGAAAGTAGGGGAGAGATAAAATGCCCACTTACAAATTAAATCAAACAAGCACAGTGAGGCATTACCTTGCCATCACGGCTGCCTCCCAAAGCCCACCATTCACACTGCCAATATGAATGAATAGCTACTCAACCAGTGGACTCCAGAAATCTCTGGACAGTGTGGGGAGCTCCATGGCTACTGCCAAAAGCCTTATGGGGAAGAACTGAAAGGATGAAAAGGAAAGAAGAAAGAATAGTAAAGGAAGTGGTGAGTTTTAAGTTGGGAGAGTGGGGCAGTTCCCAGAATAGCAGCAGTACCCTGGATTAACATGCCTCTTTCAAAAGACTTTCAATGCAGAGACGTGTACTCACGGCCCATCATACATATAGTATAAAGTATGCTTGCCATTCATTAGACCTCAGTCCAGCTATTCTGGTAGAAGCAAAGGGCCTGCCAGCTTTCGGCTTTCTACATATGCAAAACAGCAAGTCTGATGAATCCTGCATTTCATATCCTTGAGAATCAGAGTTAACAGAATGTGTGTTGGGAAATGGAGGTTATGGGTCAGCTAGAAACACAGTTACCATGGTTTATGACAGTATCTTTTACACTATTCTCTCTTAGGTACTAATATCTAGCCTTCAAATAAAGGTTATTTTAACACAGGGAAAGAAATCCCTAAACTCCATTTTAGTAGAATTTCTATCATTCTTTAGGAGGAAATATTCTTTCTTAATAAAAATTCAACTCACCTGGAGGGAATACCCTCTGAGAAAAAGAAACTGACTATCCTATGTTCACAAGATCATGGACCTGCTGCCCTGTCATTGGGACTTGAGGACTATTCCAAATAATGACATTGCTAACGTATCTCCTCCTTTACAGGCAATCTGAAATACTCTTCCAACTCAATTACTGACACTCTTTTCTGGTCACATCAAAATGAAAAATCATATTTCAAGAGTCTTGATTTTTAAGATGGCTAAAGCAACCCACTATCCTTGCAGTTTAGTTCTGCCCAACTTTTCCAGCATAGGAAAAAGAGATTCAAGAATACTGCCATTTCTCTGCTTTAAATGGATTTGCCAGGAAGTCCCTCAAGTCCTCATCTTGGAGGAATTACATAAACATGAAACAATCAACAAAGTCAAACAAAAATGAACAAAAAACTACCCCCATAAAACTTCATGCCTTCAGTCATCAAAAGTCATATTTTGTTCTACCTCCTTTTCTATCTTTTTCACACGCTGCTGTTTATCCAGCATATGAATTACCTGTCTTATCATGCATACTATTTGGTCTACAATAAACACGCAGCAAACAGCATACTTTTAATGATCTGAATGAAGACAATGATCTAATATATTTATTTCAAAGTAAACAATTCTAAGTTTTTCCATTTCCCCAAAACACAGATCAGCAGCCTAATTTAAAACAAACTGATTTTTTTCTTTGTGAGATTACAGTACGAGACTGAGTGATAAAATCTTTGCTTACCTATAAAATAAAGTATATCTGTACTCTAGAGCACCTTAAGAATATTGATTCAACTTATAAATAGTAGAATATTTAGCATTTTAGCCTTAATATTCAAAAACTTTGAGGACGCAAATAATCACTTTTGACTTGTTCCCTGTTTAATAATCCTCCACTGTAGATGACATTTATTTGCTCATATATCTCACCTTGGTGAGTAGAATTCTTAGTCCAAATCCCTGAAAGGAATAGTGTGGCTCCCTAGTGCAAATTTCCTGAGAGCCCCTTCCCTCAGTATGTGCCAAGAATCAAATCTTGGCCACTTAGTGCTCTGTGTTCCACATGTGAGCTCGCGACGCGCTGAACGGCTGTGCTAACTGAGATGGATGGCCCTGTCAAACAGGAAGCTGGCACACCAGGGTGCAAGCAGTGGGATACAATGACCTTTACATTCAGAGAAAAATATCCCTAAAGTGGCATGAAAAGTTTGTGGGGGGAAGGGAAGGGAGATTCTTTTATTTCATTTAAGTACATAGCATGACATAAAAGCAATGGTGCCCAGTATGCAATTTGCTCAGGATCAAATCGTGAATCCCTCACACAAGAAGGAAAGTCGTTGGAAAAAGGAAATGAATCATCCTTTATCAGGCTGCTTTGAAAGCACTGGACTCTACGATTCAGCTATATCACTGCGCCCAGCCTGGCCAGCGCTCAGATTCAGACTGCGCTGGGATTCACAATAACTAGTAGGGTACTACCTGCCCTGGGAAAACATTCCTAATTTCAATTAGGTTGCTTTCTTGATAGAACTAAAGTATAACTTAAATACTTAAAATATTTCCTAAAAAGCAATCATCTACTTACAGAATCAAATTCAAGAGCTTGGGAATTTAAATCCCTTGGTCACCACATCTGTAACTTTATATCAATGTTTAATCTCTCATAGTATCCTTATTGGTACAAATGAGGCTCTGACTGATAGTTCTTAGGAATTATATGAAGAGAAACTCATTTTAAAAAATAACAAACATCCTTGGCATCTTCACAAATGTTAACTAAAGATAGTAATACAGGACACTAACATATAAACTAAGATCTGGAAGTTACGGATTTCTCTCCTTTGGTTATAACCATAATCATAAACAATACAATTCAACCATTTCAGCTGAAAAACAAGAACAATAAATTCCATCAGATCAATTTTTTTTTTTCATCACTCAAGGTTTGGGGAGAATTTTTGTTATTATTTGTTTTGTCAATTCTTTGGCATGACAGAACAATGGGCTATACTTCAAAATGAAACAACAGAAGCTCACAACGGGCTCCCCAGTATTGTACAATACGCACTGAAATAATGATGCAATTTTAATATTTAATCAAATAAGTGAAAGGAATTGATCATAAAGACATGGCAATATTTTTTAACTAAATGGACTGCATCAAAACTACAAAACAGTTTTCAAAGAAACAAAAGGATAAAAGACATCCATTTTTTTTTCTGTTTAATTAAAAGCTTATTGCAAAGTGCAGAAGCCACAGGCCCAAAGCAATAAATAAATTTGGAAAACTGAATGCTTTATAAGTCATGTATTATAAGTTTGGATAAGTCAGGAGTTAAATATCTCAACATTGGTCCTAACTTAGAGAAAATAACAGTGTTATAAATGCAAAAAAATCTATGATCGGTTTGAAATGCAAGTTGATTTTGTGGCTCCAGAAGTGCTGGTCAAATGCTTCCCAAAACAAGAAACAAGACCTTCTACAAGAAATATTCTACTGCTCACTAGGAAATGCTAAATCTGACAATTCTCCTTCAACCTTTGTTTGGAGAACTATTTCAGAAAACATATTCTTCCTCAAATTATGACACACAAGAGACTTGGGAGGAGAGGGGAGAGGCATTAATACCTTGGGCCTGGGCCGCAGAGCTGTGAGAATACCCCAGGGCCAGGAGCGCAGTCTCCACCAGCTGGCTAAAAAGCACATCTTTCCGCACCAGGACAAACTCGGCGTGTTCTTCTCTGTTGTCATATTCAAGAGAGCCGTCCAACTGCTCCACGACACAAAAGACAGGAATCATCAAACCTGAAGGGACAAAATTCAAGAGCAAAACACAAACATTAAAAAGCAAATCTCAGTCACCACGATGAGAAGGGAAGCAACAGTTATAAAAGTCAGTCATCTGTGATCGACAGTGGTTTAGATTAAACAAGCCTCTTAGTCATATAGGTCTAATGGAAAGCTGTGGGTTTTCCCCCTCTATTATTACAGAATTGCCCAGGGCAGTGGCAGAAGCCCTTAGATTCCCGTCATTTTCACCAATTAGAGGTGTCCTGGTACATAGGTGAGATGAAGGTGACCACACAGACACTCGAATCTTTTAATGTCTATAGTTTTATCATTAACTATCAGCACTAGTATTTTCAGATCAGATCTGCTCTTGTCTAAAAATCTATTTCAAAGCTTCCAGTTGTAATAAATATATTACTTTTACACGTAAAAGTAATATATTTCTCTTTAAATATATTACTTTTACGTGTAAAAGTAATATATTTCTCTTGTCTGGAAATATATTTCAAAGCTTCCAGCTCCTTCCTACTAAGGTGGTATTGATTTTAAGGCCTAAGCTGTTATGTGAATATAATAAAGTCAATAGAAATTTAAAATAAGTCCCTCTTACGTGCTGTTGTTTTTTTAAATCCTAGTAAATAGGTTATCAACTAGCCTGAAAATAACATGATCATAAACATCTTAATTTACATTTATGTCAAAATATGCATCCAAATACAAAAGTTTGCCTATGTAAAATTATTTTATACATTAACATCAGTTACTGGAAAGGGAGTATCTTTTCTTGTGTTTTCAGAGAAAATAAGTAAACTACCCTAAAGAATAAAGCAAATTAGTCTAGTTGAAAATCTGTTGAAATCTGTTGTCACTGAAATATTTCTCTGCTTTGTATCAAAGTGTGAAAAGCTAAAAAATGTTTAATTCACCAAAGATTTTTTTAAACTTTTTTTTTATTTTTAAAAAAGTCATACAGGCACTTAAATCTAAACATAACCAAGGCAGAAGAAGATCAAAGTTTTACCAACATACAAGTAATAAACATGGACCCTGCCTAATGTAATTCACACAAATTAGTATGTTATGGGTCTTCTTTTTGTGCAAGAAAAATTAAAACTTATGAAGACTGGGTGAGTAGGCAGACGGGGGAGGTAGAAAGTCACATGGTCATGGTGAAGGTACTTCACAACAAAAAGAAGACCTCTGTGTGAAATGACTAGATGGGAGTATGGCCCCTGACACATAGAATGCATAGGAGTTTTCCAGAACCCCCTCCCTGTGGCCTCAACCCTAGAAGCCTCCTGACTCACTCTGATCTGGAAAGCCAAGGGTGGGAGCAGATACTCTGCAAACTACTGGGTTACAGATTGAGGTATTTGTTCTAAAGATAATACAATGGTGCAACTGGTTCCCATGTGCTAATTATTATTATTAAAGATAATAAGTATTGGGTGTAATTATTAAATATAATCCTTATTAACAATAATAATACTCATTAAGAATTGTTATCATTAAAGATCATGGTAATTATTATTAAGACTGCACAACAGTGTAACAAGTCAAACCATATCACACACAAGACAACTCAGTGTTCACTCCTGAGAACAAGAAAGCAGTATTATTGTCTATAGCAAATACACTCTCCATGGTGTAGATTTATTTAAAAATATAAGATACGAGTGGAGTAGACTGATTTTTTAGACAAAGAAGAAGATTTAGGACAGCTACACAATGCCTTGTAAGATATATTTTTTAATTGTGATCATTACTGGTATATGAAATGCTTATTTATTTATACCAAGTTTATTCCCAAATATATATAGGACATGTAGCGAATAATATAAATTAGATTTCCTTCAAATTATCTTTTTTTTTTTTTCTCGCTCTTGTTGCCCAGGCTGGAGGGCAATGGTGCAATCTCGGCTCACTGCAACCTCCACCTCTCGGGTTCAAGCGATTCTCCTGCCTCAGCCTCCTGAGAAGCTGGGATTACAGGCGCCCGTCAACACGCCTGGCTAATTTTTGTACTTTTAGTAGAGGTTTCTCCATGTTGGCCAGGCTGGTCTCGAACTCCTAACCTCAGGTGATCCACCTGCCTTGGCCTCCCAAAGTGCTGGGATTACAGGCATGAGCCACCGTGCCTGGCCCCAAATTATCTTTGTAGTCATTCATGTATCCAGGATTTATTCACTGAACACCTACTATGTGACAGGTATCACCACCAGTGGCTCCAGGGATACAAGTAAGAACAAGTCTGATATCACTCCTGCCCTCAATGTAGTTAAAGGAGTTGTAAAACCTTCCTAAGCAAGCATAATGGCATTTTATAGGACTCATTCATGAGAGTCCCTACCAGCAAGGAATAGCCCCCATTTAGAGCTTTTAACTCTTACATGCTGGCATATAATCTTTGCCCAAGGAAGTAGGTAGATTTTTATTTCTAATGATTTAAGCATATGCACACATAAGGCCATATAGTCCATGGTGCCATAAGCTACTTCACCACTAATACCTGTGTGTACATAAGTTTCGATGCTGAAAATCCATGTGCAGTTCCTAATGTCAACATCTGAGTGTCACACATCTGGGAATCAAAGATAAGATCTTTAAATGAATCCAATTGCTCCATAAGCTATCATGTCTCCATTACTTAGAAACTATAAATCTTTCTCAAGTCTATGGTCAACTGAAAAAACTTAAGACCATATTAATTTTTAAAAATAATATTAACTGTTCAGTTAGATATGAAATATAACATGAAAGCACAGGGATCTATAACATGTAGGGACTTACGTTTTATAACCGTCAATTACTGAAATAGTTCCTAAACATTTTGGTTCAGTGATTGAAGGAAGCAATTGTTAGCTGACAACAGTAATGACTTCTTACAGAAAGCATGCAACAATCCCCTACTGGCATCATCTATTTAAAAAAAAACAAAACAAAACAAAACAAAACTTTGTGGTCATTTATAAAATAAAACAGTACTAACCAGGAACGTATGTATGATAATAGGGTTTCTTCTGCAGAACATATACATGAGATACTGAAGAATATCATAAAGGGCTTATTCTTAGAAAAATTTACCTTCTTACTAGAATTTGACCCATCTAAACAATTATGGTTTTTATAATGAAATGCAAGTTTTACAAAAGAAGAATAAAGGAGGAAAAATAGATGCAATTACTAATGACAATAACAAGAGAAATAAAAAATAGTAAAATAGTATCATTGAGGTCAAGTGTAGAAAGAAGAAAATTAAGGCACAGGTTTAAAAGGCCTTTAAAAACCAGAAATCCCTAAGGGAAGCAAACTATAAAAGGATGAGTAAAAATATATGCCAAGAAAGAGAGAGAGAGAGAGAGAGATTTGTCCATCTTATTAACAACTCGTCCCAGGCAAAAAGAGGGAAAAAGAAAGAAAAAAAAAAGAGAGAGAAAAGTGACAATGGATAGAAAGATAGGGAGGTGCTTGAAAAGCACTTCACAGAATAAATTAAGAGTGGGGAGAATTTAAAAGTTCCAATAAAAGAATAAAAATGTAAAACTGAAATCCATTTTCAACAAAATTTAGAAATGGTGAAGAAAAAAGAAAATCTTGCTCTAGCCCTATATCTTGAGCTTCCAATATTATTTTTCTTTTATTGTAGCACAGACCCATTTTCAGATGATCTAGTAGAGAACTTTGAACCTTCTGATCATAAGCCTTACTAAGCCTTTTACAATCACAGGAGGTAAGCAGGTACTTTAATCTAGAGGACAGGCGCTCGGCCTCAGCCATTTGCTAAAAATGAAGAGTTGTTCTGGTAATTGGGATAAATGATGAATTCTGTTGTCAAAGAGGCAAAACAAGCCTGGTACCCTCTCTACACTAGAAAAATGCATTTTTCCAACTGTCATTAGTGATGATACTGAAACTGTCATTTTCATTCTGACATTATTTCTAAAGAAGTGTGTATAATTTATAAAGCGTTAACCATTGTAACTGCCACTGTTCACAGCAACAGCTGTGAGAACTGAGACATGTGGGAAAATGGTTAGATGTGGTGATGAACAGCACCAGGTCAGGGTCAAGTCCTGGCACTGTCCCTTTTTACCTGTGTGTGACCTTGAGTAGTTCATCTTACCTCTCTGAAGCTCCAATTCCTCCTAGCCAAAATGCAAACAATATCTACATCATAGATCTGTTGTGAAGATTAAACAATTTTACATATTTAAGTTGTCTGACAGATAGCTCTCAAACAATGGAATCTATTTGTTTTCCTTTTTTTCAAAATCGGTATTAATACCATTTTACAGAGGAAAAAAATTAACCAGTAATTTTTTTCAAGGCCTATAATCAATGTTCACGATACTAAAAGGCATTTCTTCAGAATAAAGATGATACTAATAATTATTGAATGGCCTATTATGCAAATGACAACTGGCTTAAAGTGTTTAACATGCCCCATGGCAAAAAAGGTGAAAGTGCTTAAAAGCACAGTAAAACTACCTGTCCATCACAGTAGCCTCTAACTTCATGTAGCAATTGAGTACTTGAAACATAGCTAGTCTCAAATTGAGATGTGTCGTAAGTATACATACTAGATTTTAATGACTTAATAACAAAAACAAATAAAATAAAATTATTTTTTAAAAGTAATTGTGTGTAGAATATCTTGAATATATTGAGTTAAATAAAATATATTATTAAAATTAACTTCACCTGTTTAACTTTTAGTGTAGCTACTAGAAAATTTAAAATTATACATGTGGCTTGTATTAGTATCAGAGAGCACTGTTCTAATGAATCTGCCTAATAACAATATATAATTTTTTCTCACACAGGATACATTTATCACAAACTGATACTAGGCCAATAGTGTGACTGTCGTGAGCCCTTTAGCTGTCTTTCCTCTGTGTTCCAGCTCTTAGGAGTCCTGAAGACAGAAGCACTCTTGGTTAAATTCCAAAATCCAACGTGTTACCTTCTCTGCAATTGCAGGCTGCTGTTTTATTACTAACTATATTAATCCAACTTCTTTTATTAGGGAACAGCTCTTTCCCCCTTGCCTTCATTTTAAAGAATAGACTTCAGGAAATGTCACAACACTGGCTATGAAAGTGACCTGAGGAATGCGTATTCTGGAAGGCTCTGAATGTTTAACCCAACAATGAAAGACGAAAGATGGTGCAGCTGCAGCAGGGCGTCTAGGTGACAGGATTCAATGGGCTTGCGCCAAAGTTGGGACATGAAATAAACCCCTGCTTTGCACTGCACTTCCTAGATCATCATGTAGTCTAACATACACACCTTTATCTTCTCACATTTACTCTGTGACAGGGTTAGCATTATTTTCAGTTAATAAATTAGGAAACTGAAACTATGGGAGAAGTAACATGCCCCAAAAAACACAGCAAGGCAAGGGCAGAATAGTTCAGGTTATCCAGCTCTAAATCCCAAGCAGGCTGCTTTCCTGAGAGTTGAAAACAACACTCCAGAATCCACATCCATTGAAATCTAAGGGCTTGGCCTCTTAATAAAAAGGACCCTTTACCACTTGCTATGTCCAATGGGTGACCTGTACTACTTGTAAGTGAATTCACCTTTTGTCTGCCTACCAGGTGTCTGGCACCATGCTAGGCATGGAGGGGGAAACTAAGAGGGCTCCTGCCCTTCCGTTATTCACAGACAAAGAAAGAAACAAAGGCTCACATGAATGGTCATACTCTAGTGTAAATCAGCACTGTCTCCAGCCTCCTCCCTAGCTCCTTTGTCTCCTTGGTCCACCAGCACTCCTGAATGACAGGAGCCAGTTTGAGATGAGAGGAGGCCAGGCTTTCGCCTCCCCTCTTTCAAAGAGCTCCTGAAGCCCATCTGTCTCTTGAAGGAAGGCAGCAGACAGGGCCCACTCCCTTCCCTGGAGCCTGCAGCTTATCTAGTTCTATCACCTGAGAAGGTCCGAGGGCTAACTGGAGATTATAAAGACTGTAGGGCAAAGCCTTGCATATCTTTTCTTCGTATAAAACTGAACCTGAAGTACCAAAGAACAATCTGTTTGAAATACTGAAACAAACTTTACCACATAAACTGAGTGAATAACAGTCTTCAAGAGGACAGAGAGAAAAAGTGAGGGATGGCTACTATTTTTTCTTATTGTAAATTTACCAGAAAATCAAAACAACGATTTACTTGTTCTATAACCTCATATTCTCATTATCTCTCTCTGTCTCTCTCTCTCTCACACTGACACAATCATACACATACATACTGAGTCACAGACAAGAAGAGAAGTAACTTGCCAACATTAACCACTAGCCCCTTCTTTCCATCCTAAAATAATAGAGGCTGGGCGCAGTGGCTCACACCTGTAATCTCAGCAATTTGGGAGGCCAAGGCAGGCGGATCACCTGAGGTCAGGAGTTCGAGACCAGCCTGACCAACATGGTGAGACCCCCGTATCTACTAAAAATACAAAAACTAGCCGGACATGGTGGCAGGCGCCTGTAATCCCAGCTACTTGGGAGGCTGAGGGCAGGAGAATGGCTTGAACCCAGGAGACAGAGGTTGCAGTGAGCCGAGACCATGCCACTGCACCCCAGCCTGGGCAACAGAAAGAGACTCTGCCTCAAATAATAATAATAATAATGAAGAAAAGCCTGAGTGCCTAAAATTGCAACCATAAATAGAAAGAAAGAATAGGGTGTTTCTCACCTCCCTGTTGGGGTCTCAGGAAAAATTTCTAAAAGGGATGCAGTGTGTCCTTCCTAATCTCCTCTTTGTGGCCCTGCTGTCCTCTACTAGGCACCCAGCCCCCTGGGCTAAGGCAGCCACAGGCTCTACATTCCACTCCAGCCTCCTACTCCCCCCAGGGGCTGATCTCAAAAATTCCACAGATTAATAGATAAAAAGATGCTTGCTACACTGTTTGAATGGTTTAGTGTTCTCCTTAATCTCCTCAGCTAGGTCTTCACAGTATAATATATATTTTATTTCAAATAAATTTCTCATGGAAGAAATTTCAGGTAGTATAATAAGAAACAGTAGAAAAAAAATTTCACCAATTTTAAAGGAGAGAGCAGAGCAATCATTTGGATGCAAAGGGAGCCACCCACAGGTCCACAGGTGGACCAGAGGCCCTCTAGGCTCCCCCAGCTGCTCCAGTTTTCAACGCTCCTCCCTGTCCTTTGCTTGTAAACTACACATTCCCTGAAACATTAATTCACTTGTTTTTCTAGTTGGCTTTTTCTTAACTCTTATCGTAGAGGAAGCAGAAGCCAAGACAGAGGTGGGACAGCAGCAAGTTCTAAGTGGTTTACAGGTAGAGATCAGTCAATTTTCCAGTTATGAGGAAGGCAAACTCTGCATCATAATTACTTTTTTTTTTTTTTTTAGATGGAATTTCACTCTTATTGCCCAGGCTGGAGTGCAATGGTGCAATCTCGACTCACTGCAACCTCCACCTCAGGTTCAAGCGATTCTCCTGCCTCAGCCTCCCAAGTAGCTGGGATTATAGGCATGTGCCACCGTGCCCGGCTAATTTTGTATTTTTGTAGAGACAGGGTTTCTCCATGTTGGTCAGGCTGGTCTTGAACTCCCAACCTCAGGTGATCCGCCTGCCTCGACCTCCCAAAGCGCTGGGATTATAGGTGTGAGCCACCTTGCCCAGCCATCATAATTACTCTTAGGTACAAACTGAGCCATACATACAATAATTCAATTTCATATTTACCCATGACCCAGGTGCAACTCAGGATTAGACCTCCAACTAAATAATAAATAATATTCAATAATATTGAATAAGAGTAAGAAATTAAGAGTTAAGAAATATTGAATAAGAGTTAAGAAAAAACCAACTAGAAAAACAAGTGAATTTTTCAGAGAATGTGTACTTTACAATATATTGAATATTATTTCTCAATTTTATTATTTATTATGAAATAATATTCAATAACATTTAATATTGATTTATTTGATAATAAACTCCTTGATGGCTCTCCCACTATTTGTGGGGGCAATGGGGTTGAGAATGATATCAAGAAATAGCTTATTCTCAGAATTCTCTCTAGTAAAACCAGATACTACTTTGCAACCCCTGAGGCCAATCTTAACTTTGGACAATAAGAACAAAAATAGGCAGGGATGAGGATGGGAGAGTGGACGCTAGTCCTCGCTCACTGACCACCCCGAAGGATCAAACTGGGCCTAAAGTGGTAGGGAAGGGAGATGAGTTCTGGCCTTCCACATCTCTGATTCCAGGCCTGACTCCAGGCAAAGCAATCACAATTCAACCTGAAGTCAGGTCCGAAGGCTGAAGGAGAAACTCCAGGTCTCTAAACATCCTTCGGTTATAGAAATTTAGTGGCAAGATCAAATTGGCCAGGCAGTTTGCAAAACAGTATTTCATGGGCACATAGGAGGCAATTTGTGGCAGCTTATCTAAACAAAAGAAGCCTGAGCCACACCTGGGAACTCTGCCACAGCAAGCCTGACCTACGGAACTAAATTCTCTGATGTCAGGAATGCCAAGGCTCTAGTGGGTGTAGAGGAGAGGCCCACCGTTTTCCTCCTCAAACATGGGCTGGACTTAGCTGCCTCATGCCCCTCCCAACCCTGAGCCTGACCTATATAGTAGGCCCAAAATAAATGTTGGTTAATCTAACAAAATGCCAATTCCAGTTAGATATTAATCACCACCATTAATAGGCAGTGTCTGCCTAGCTGTCAAACTTGTCCATATCACTCTGGCCCCATTGCACTGCACTCAGCATCAGCAAACAAGGAAAGCTTTCTAGGAAATGATCCACATAAGTGGATTCAGGAGCTTGCTCCATGTTGTCCAGGGGATGTTGGCCAGATCACAGCGCTGTGCGTGACCACTATTGACAGAACTTGTCAGGGTATCACCACGGGCATCGCATGGATGGGTGCGTAACAAAGTGGCATGCTGCACCATGCTCTGTATACACCCTAGAGCCACGGGGGTCTTGTCGGCAGTCCTACCCATGTCCTGCACTGAAAGACTACAGTATCTTTTCTAAATTTAGTAACTACAGAAAGACAAAATGTTTAATGATCCTAGAATTTAAAAAACAACAACAAAAAATGTTATAAGGACAAAAGAGCCGGGCACAGTGGCCAGAGCCTGTTAAACCCAGCTACTTGGAAGGCTGAAGTGGAAGGATCAGTTGAGCTTAGGAGTTCGAGGCTACAGTGAGCAATGATCTCACCACTGCACTCCAGCCAGAGTTACAGAGCCAGATCCATCTCTAAAATAAATAATTAAATAACTTTTAAAAATAGAAAGGAAAAAAACAGGATATACAAGTTTGAATATAACAGAAAAGTTCAAGGGTATGGCATATTGTTGAAGTATCCTTAGTTCAAGCCTAAATTCTTCAGGTTCTTTTTACGATAGGTTAAAAATGCATATATGTATAAGTCCTGAGACTCGACCACATGTTAAAAATGACTCTACCATAATTTATGAATGCTAGGGTTTCTGTCCTTTGTTAAGTAAAATTTCATTCTGGAGGTTTCTGAGAATTTTTTTTTTTTTTTTTTGAGACAGAGTCTCACTCTGTCGAAAATAGTATTTAAGCAGAGATCGATTCACCTCCCCACCTTATTCTCATCATCCTCTCTGGAAAAGCTATTTGCAACTCAGAGTCCCATGCATCAAAAAAGGAGTCAATGAAAATTGTCCTTATACTAACATTTACTTCAGGTTTTGAGCTCTGCCTAAATGTTATTTTATCTAATTCAAACAATTAAAAAAAAACAGCTTGATTAATTTCTCCAGTGTAGTGTTAAGGAAAGGTTAACAGTACTGAGGTCCTCTTGAAAGGAATTAATAAAGGAATCAAGTGCTCAGCTCTCAATAAGACAAGACTACCCAGATTTCTAGTGGGAATATTTCATAGCACAAGCATGTTTTCTTTGGGGAGTTTAACTCACAAAAATTATTAAAAATTGAGATCAAACACTGGTGCAGAGCCTCAAAGGAAATCATACTAGAATGGAGAGATTTTTATCAAATAAAAACTGAAAAGTAAAGTTATAGCAAAAAAAAAAAAAAAAAGGCTTTCTCCCTCACAAAAAGAAAATCCTACTGTCTATGTTTAGAGTTCAAACAGCAAAACATTTACGGATACTTAATAGATGTGTAGAAAGCAACACTGTGCAATGAATGCAGATTTCACAAAGCCGAGCTTAAGCAGACAGGCAACTACCACCACCATTTCTCAGCCATTAAAAGCCACTCTCATTCTTATATTCAACAAATGCATCCATCAAGACTCAATAACAACCAAGCTGGTGAAAGGGCTAACGCTGAAAGGAGAAAGAGAAAAAAAAGCAAGAGGGAGAAAGAGCAAGAAAGTCAAAATCATAGTGTGTATTCTCCAGTCCCCTTAGGGGATCTGACTGAGATCTCTGGTTTGCAATACATAGGATATTATTATTGTGACTCAGATCAAGTTAATAAAACCCAGCCTACAGACCAGGGAAACCAGGGTCTGATGGAATACTTCCCAGACAAAATATTTTAAGTATATATGTAGTGCCTGTGTAATTTATAGAAATTAATCAGAAAAACAGAACAGAGAAAACTAGCATTTTTTTCACTTTATGGTTCTAATACATCCTCTTTATAATTTATATAATTTCCAAAATAAAATATTAAAATAAATATTTTAAAAATGAAAGAGACTATTTAAGTCTCTGCATATAAATCTCTTGGAAACCTTATGTTCATCCTGAATATGTTTATCCAAAGGCTATCACCCAGCCAATGAAAGAGTTATTCCACTTTTTACTGCCTTTGAGAAGTGTTATCAAAGCCTAAAGTGATTTGTCTCCTGGACAAAAAAGTGAGAAATCTTTTACCCTAAATAAAATGTAAGAGTCTACCTTCCTCAAAGCAAAAACCCTGGAAGACTACTGCAGCATTTTAAATTGGGAGTAATTCCAAGTATTAACACCTTAATCTCAAAAAGATTTCATTTTCCCTAGAGTCCTTGGTTCATAAATTATTTAAGGATAAAATATTAATAATTTCTGAGCCACAAAATAAAGGTATTGGTGTTGTCCCCCTCCCCCTAGAAAGCCAGTTTCAAAACAGTTCTATTCTGACAAGCCCAATACAAAATAACAGAAACACAAGTCAAACATTATTTCAAACTCCATATTGAAGGAGGAAAGAATTTCATCTGGGGTTAACTTAATAGTATACGTTTAAAGTTTGTGGGTGAACTCGAGTATCACCCAAGAGGTAAGAGCTACTATTTTATCTTGGCACCATCACGCTACATCTAGATGGAGATGATAGAAGAAACTATACATGACAGTTTCTATAAGTTCATTTATTTTGTTAACACAAATAGGATCGACAAACAGCTATGTTTTCAAAGAGCAAGCCTGTGTTTATTCTATATATGAGAGGCTGGCGGCGAGAAAGATGGCTTTACTGAGTCATTCTAGCAAAGGAAGAAGAGAGCTGCATCTCAGAAGCCTGCCTTGGTTAAAAAGAACTGTCTCCCACAAACTCACTTTCAAGCTATACATCAATCTTCAATATAATTATGTTTGACAGAATATAAGCTCTTGGCAGTTAACTTGTTTACAATAAATGCTTAGTTTGGGTACATGGACTGTATTTCAGTCCTACAAATATCAAACACAAACCTACAACAGTCCCGTTATGGAGCTGAGAATTATTTTGCTATAAATCTTTTTATTGGGGGGCCAAGGGAATTACTTTGCAGCTTGTTTCCCACTAACCACCTGGAACAGTGTGAAAAAAGAGGTACATTTATGCTCTGACCCTGCGCTAATTGGAATCCTATACATTTCCACAGGAGAATGTTCAGTATCAATCCTGAACATGCAGGTCAGTCCCCAGTTCTGCCATGGCAGCAAAAAATACACATGAAACAAAATGGTTCTTACTAAAGTCACGGCATTTTCATACAGTTCTTTTCCTCCTCAAAGTTTCTTGGGAACTAATGACCATTTGTAACAGTGTTGGCAGACTTTCAATGGTAAGCCCCAGTTTTGGGGGAGTTTATAAGTTAGCTGTAAAAACGTGCTTAAGGCTCAAACTTGCCATATGAAAGAGGCTGTAAATAGAGGTAGTTTTGCTGCATATTACCTAGAGATTCATTTGAGAAGGAAAAAAGTCAGGATCACCTTATTTACCCTTGTAAAGTGACTTTACCTGGTTATTAAAGGTGTAATAACTTCCTATTCAGGGAACAATTTGCTCTTCTTATACTCCGTCGATACTAAAGGGTTTGGGGTGTTCTAATACCACATTTCCCAAATCTAAAGGGCAACATCTGAATGGAGATGTCTGAATGGAGACTCTAGGAATGCTTCTCTCCTGACAGGCACCTTCACTCTGAATACCTTCTGGTTTTCGGATGAAGACAATTTATCATTGCAAGGTTTCTTTAGTGCTTTCTAATTTCCCACTTAACATGTAATTAGATTCCTATAATAACTCAACTTTAACATAGTATTAATACATCAAAAAGATCATATTAAGGATCACAGTTTATTTTCCAAAATAAACAATACTGAAAAATTCAGTCACGTAATGACTTAATATTAAGATTCCAATTTCTTCCTTTCTAGTCAATGTTACAATTACAGGTGACAAAAAACTTAAAACATGTTTGTCTCTCAGCTTCTAATAAAGAAGAATAGCAACTGATTTATAAGTTTCAACTGTCATGCAAAATGGTTTTATTAAAAAATTTTACCACAGGGTTTTCTTGTATACAGGGGAGAGGGACAGAAAAGAAAAATATTTTCACTACATTATCAGCCTCACAGAACTTCCTTGTTAATACCAAAGCACTATTTTGCAATGTGAACTAATGGAAAATTGTTAAATTCACCTAAAATAACTACTCCTTTTTTTAAACTAAAGAAACCCTTTTAAAACCTTGACTATTTAATTGCTGTTTACTTGGGGAAGAGGGACATGGAGAAGGTGATCGTATGAAAAAAAAACCAAAACACTTTCTTTTAATTGTACAACAAAAATTCCTTCCAAGGCAAAAAGACATTATGCCAAGTTCCACCCAGAATTAATGTTTAGGTTTAAATTATAAAGTCCAGAAGAAACGGAACCACTAATAGACCCTTAAAGCTCATGGCCTTCATCAACACTGTTAGGTTACGCAAATGTTAAAACTGAAAACCCTTTGCTGACAAAAGCATTTTAATGAAGGCACTATTAACTAGGCTCTATGGATTAAATAACTTTTTTAAAAAAGCTTTTTTGGGGCTGTTTGATATACATCCCACTCTAAAAGGGATGATAAATGCTCGGGAGAGTTCTGAAATTATGAGACCTCCACCAGGAGGATGTACTGCCTATCTTGTTTCTTTCATTTTGTCACCTCAGGAAGGTTTTTAAATATTAAATCCAAGAAACTCAGCGACAGATGAAAGAAATATTCCCCCCTAAGTCTGTCAACTGAGTAAAACCTGGAGCTCTGACTACTCTGATGGCCGACATTATCTGCAGTTTTAGTATCCCCACCACACATGGGGGTAACCCGAGTTATCCCCACCTCAGGTATCCCCACCCTAAGTCAAGGTTCCCGGGTGAACTCCACCGTCACCACCTAGGTTTCTTCAGGAGCTCACAGTTTCTATTAATAGAGTAACAAATACAGCCCAGAGTGAGGCAAAACGAGCCCCAGGCAGCCCCTGCTGCCTGGCGGTTCATTCGGAGTTGCTGAAAGCATAGCTCTGTGGAATGAGAGCCAGAGTCTCAGCAATGTTAAGGACATCGATTTCATAATTCAGAGGATTGCAGGTCGAAGCAAGAGCCTCTGCATTTCAGGTGACAGTCAGGTGAGTACACCTCAGGTGATGTGCCCACAGAGCAACTCAGGTTACCCCGGTGTGTGCTGAGAAGAAATGAGGGTGCTCATTATTCAGCCTCAACTCTCTCCCCTTCAGCCTAGTTTGGACTTTGGGAAGAGGAAGAACAGCAGGCCTAGGAACCCCATCTAACCCTTACTTGGCTGGGCTTTGTAACAAGAGGAACATTCATTACTTCTGACTTCCATTTACAGAGACAAAAAAAAAGGAGGGGGAGAGAGTAGTTCCACCTCAGGTAGAATTTAAGAAAATGGGATTTTCCTGGTCAAACTGTGTATGAAGACAAAGTCAATGGTCATTTGTAATGTCTCCTGGGCAACCACTTTCCATGGGCTCCTCTTTGAACTTCCCAGGGAAGAATGAGAGCCAAATGGTCTCTCCCTAAAACAGATTTTAGCTAATAAACACAACAAAGTATGCGAAAAGCACTTCAGTTTTTCTGCATCTTCTCCAAGACTAAAAATTTGTACATTGTGTGACAGGTCCACCTCATTTTTCTTAATGATGTTTTTATTATTCTTTCACTCAATTAAAGCAGAAATGGATATTGCATCTTCTGACTGTATAATTGTTATTGTAATCTGTTTTCGATCACTGCTTGGGAAATGGGTCCAAAACAACATAAACTCTCCACTGCCTCAGAAGACAAGTCATTTTCTTTTACTACGACACTTAAAGAGACATTTATCATGCTGCTCTGTTAGCATCTTTGGATTATGACAAAAGAAAGTTCTTGTTCTGTTAACCCCCAAAAAATAATATTTCAAAAATGCTATTGCTATTTCAAGTGTTTTGATATGAATGCATCGTCAGTAAGCTATTAAATATATCAATTTTGCCTTTCCTTATATGTAATAATAATTGAAACAAATGCAATAAAAGTACTCAATTTTAATATAGGACATAATTGGGAAATCTAAAAATACAGTTATTTTTACTTTATGCCTTTGGTCCTTTGGTCCTTTCCCAGGAGTCTTGGGCATGGCATCCAATCAAATTTGCTCTCTTTGCAAAGAAAATATTTTCTTGTGTTAAAAAAAAAATCAATCACAATCAGTTATGAAAGAACTGATACACTTGCTTTCCAGCCAAATGCAAAAACAAGTAAAAAGTATTTTTTAAAGAAAGAAAAAGATATATGTGGTTAACGTGATGAAATTCACGCTGTTTCTACGACAAACCCCTGCAAATCACCTCTGTCAGATCTTAGCACTTTGGAAAACATTTGCTCTAACTAGAGTCTCTTATTTTATATATTATATACATAAATATCTGTGTAAGTCTTCAGTCAAATAAACAAAAGAAAGACACTGAGCTGCTGTGCACATTTCAGTAACTGTGCAACCATCAGTGGGCACCAGTTACCCTGGTTTGAAATGGATCCCTTTTGATAAATAGTAGCTTGCAGTGCCTCCCCTTAATTTTTTGATCTTTTTTGTTATTTTACAGTTTAATAACCAACTGTACTACGATAGAACTCCATTCCAATGATACGGCTACTAGGTAAGAGCAGAACTGAATCTGCCCACACACTATTAGTGAGTAACAGTACCAGGAGCAACTAAAATTGAAATATATTTCCCCAGAAGGTTTTCCTGTCCTATGTGTCATAATCATTAATAAAGAATATGCTTACTATAAAACTGACATAGTTTGCTGATAACTTTATTGCAAGTTTCAAATTCTTAAAATTTCTATTCATGCTTTTATCTGCATTTTAGGCATTTGTCAAACTAATAACCATAACATCCACTTGTTTAAGTTAAAGGACATCAATTAAAAAGGGGAAAAAAAATGCATGCCATAAACTCTATTGTCATAATTATATATCTAAAGCACACTTGTTCCATATTATGTCTTTTTATCTAGTTTTTTAAAAATCTGAAATAAGTAAAACTTTTTAATTGAGCAGCAAAGATACAGAAGTTGTAGAATGCAATTTCTGATGTAGCCTTTCAGTGCCACTTAATTATACTGATTTTACCACAATTCTTAAATCACTTGCTACTAAAAAGCAAAATAATTCTGTTAATTGAAACAAATATATATAGCTAGAGTTCCATAATTTTGAAAACTCCACCATGGAACATTTTTACAAAAACACTGTAGCATGTTATGCTTACAGGGCTTGTTTCTACATAAAAGAAGAAAAATAATGTTTGGTTAATTGCTAACAATAAAGAGCAACGGAAAATAGCATACTATAATGACTACAACTGTGCTTTTTTCAAACTCTGTAAGTCCTCAACTGGTTTTTGTTTTAGTCATACCTCAGTTCCACTCAGGGCATCTACTTTGACTTTGAAATATTTATCACATTACATTTAAGTAGTAGGATGATGAATCTTTTGTATATAAAAATCCATTTTCACCACAGACATTTTCAAAACCTCTATTGCATTTTAAAATAACAGGAATTCACAGCTCTCCTTACTGGCACCCTAAATTAATGCTGGAGAGCAGTGTTGATTGGAAGTGAAAAAAGACCATACAATCAAAGTCAGTAGAGGCAAATCATTCATTTAAAAATTGCTACAAAGAAAAGAATAGAAACTAAAAGGCAAACTCTTTTCTTCATTTTTTTGAGTTAAGCATAAAGGTCTCCTACTCGAAACCATTTTAGGTTATTTCTCTGTTTTTTCCAAAAAATAATGAGTTAAAATGTATGGGTTAGATCCAACATTTCACTGCTGTTCTTATTCTTGGGGAGTGGGGGAGACGGGGAACTTGCTGCCAAAGCTTCTGAAAAGAGACTTTGGGCTGCTAATTTTCCGTTCACAAAATCTAAATTCCCCTTATGCATTCTCACACAACTCATGAAATAATATGAAACAGTATTATATCACTGCAAATTGAGACATTTTTATCAAAATAAAGAGTGATGATGCCAACATTTCATTTGTCATTTCCCACTTGTCACTTTTCACTGACAAACTGTTACACATACAACTTTTGTCAAATGCTCCATCTTTAAATATGTTCCAAAATGCCATTGTATCTCAGTATTCATGTAAGGAAGATAGTAAAAATTACTATGTTACCATATATTAGTTATATAGGTTTTTTAAAAGCCTACTGATTAAACAATATAAAGAATTCTTTATTAATTTACATGCTATATAGGATAAAGTTTGGCTTTCTGAAATAAAACAATGTACATATTTTACACACCTAATGTGGGTTCTTAGTCATAAGAAACATTTTAATGGTGAGAAATTTTATTCCAACAGAAACCTAAAAAGCTTTAAAAGATAAGTATAACCCAAGAAAATAATACTATTTGGAATTCATCTAGCCCTGTAAATTTAACATGTCTTTTTAAATATATACACATATGCTGATTCTATAATAAATACTTTTTAAAAAGAAAGAAAAATAGGGGTTTTAAATTATAACCATCAAACTTCACTGCTTACTACTTTGTCAGATATACCAAATAATTACTGTAGTCTTTCCTGGAATAAAACTGATTTCCGTATACTTAAAATGACTCAAATTCATATTCTTAGCTATCTAATAAATGATGATTAGTCTGTTTTCCCTTCTCTACAGAGATAGATTGGTTAAAACAAAATTCAAGAAAGAAAAGAAGAATTCAAACAGGATATCTCATATGTACAGACTTTGCTGGTTACAACCCTCTGGGAAAGGATGATATTGCTTATTTTCTGCAGGGGTTAAAAAACAGATGCCTTAAGGGACATCTATGTAGTTCCAACACACACACACACACACACACACACACACACACACACACACTGCACTACAGATGATCTTGAGTATACAATGGTCAGTGGGTTTCTTCTGATGGAACATAAGGCTTCCAAAATTACTTGAAACATCAAATTATGCTCAGGACTTTGAGGGGCGGATACCCTATGTTCTGTTTAATGTGTATGTTCCACTGCATATATTTTTTTAACCAAGTATATCTTTATTTTAATAACAGGCCAAGAACTAAAAACACTTTAGAGAAGAGTTATTTTTCTACCTCAGCAAAACTACAGAGGACAGGCTAGATTGTTGGATGACCCCAAAGCCTAAGTTCATTCTATTTAAAAGATCTTAAAACCTTAAAAAAAAAAAAAAAAAGTGAGGAGGGAGAAATACAATCTTTTCTCTTTTGAAGTAATGTGTACTTCCTACAAATATTATGATATTCATCCTTGGGAATGGAGTTTTCTCCATTTTGCCCATGTTAACAATATATTTCTAAGTATTTTATAATCTCAATATATACCTATCTATACTTTCATATCTGCATTCCTTTCAAAAAGTTAAATGTCTCTCTACTGTTGCTGATATGGTGACTACACCTGACCCGAACTGCATTTCTTTTCATCTAAAAGGAAGTGTTCCACATGTAGACAATTAAACTAACTGTTGTTGTAGACAATGTTCAGCTTTAAATGAGGCCCTGACTAACAATCTTGATCACATTTGCTTCCCTATTTGAATACATCAGTGTGTACTGCATAATGATTTTTTTCCCCCTTGCAACAAGACAGTTATGTTCTTGAAAGGGCTGCCTGGTAGCACGAATAGGTCTACTTCAGGTAGACTAGTTATAAGATAACTTTAACAGACAGTATGCCAACAAAATTAAATTGTTATTTATAAAACATAAATTATTTTTCAGAAATAAGCAAGTTTTTTTAATAAAAAAAGCAAATCTCTCTAAAAGATATTTTCAATGTTTAAATATTTTTCCCTAAAATGTAGAACATTTAACACCAAAAAATCATAAAAATTCATAGGAAAATGAAAAATATCAAAAAGATTTCTGATGTTTAATGTCTCCTATCAGCAAATACACCATCTGGTATATTCAAGCGCTGTTCATTCAGTTTAAATAAAGCTGTCTGAAAGTTCTTCTTTAAGCCAAACATTAAAAAATGAAAATGCTTGTGTTAACAATGAATGAAGCACAATAATTTATTGCTATTAAAGCACAACTGGCCAGCACCTTTCAGCAGTCCAGGAGAAAAGCAGAATGCCTTGCTTCCTCTGGAAACTTGATTGGCATCACTTTCATTTTATGCTGTAAGTTGCATGGCTGAAGCATTCCATACAGCAGAACATTTTAGGTACTTATGCTAATAGTGGTAAAAAGGATCATCTGATTCTTATTTTCATCATCCTTAATAATCCCTTCTTTTCCTAAATCTTCAAATAGATCTGTAAGTTTTAATCAACAATTTCACAAATATAAATTTCCCCACCATTAATCATCCTTTTTCAAAATCCTTATGGAGTGAATTACTAGCTGAGAGGGGACGCCAATTCTAGTAAGTGAATGTTACCCAGCAGGGATATAAAGCTGTCAACACCATGGTGCTCTTGCTAGCTCTAAACTCTCTCCTAGCCTTCATATGTTTTTTAAAGAGATATTAGCCTTTTTTTTTTCCTAAGGACCGTCTGTAAAAGCTGACTGACATACACATCTGAGCACTTACATTTTATTACATACATGCTTTAAAACACACTGCTCAGATAAGAGTAAAAACATCCCAGAAAGTGTTGGAAAGACAAAGCAAAACATCTAGTTTCTAACAGTCTTCTAAAGCTAACCACATAGTAAACAATCCACTTTTAAGTCCCCTGTTAAAACACAACCTTAAAGACAGTGACAGTGTATCTACCCTCTCTTCTATTTAAATTGAGACACTAAAGTAATGCCCCTTCTTTTATGAATACTTAGTTCTCATCAAAAAACACAGTAAATTCCCTCTACCTAAATAAGTAGAGTAACAGCAGAATTTATTACTGCAACCAATGCATTCAGAAGTATATTTAAACTATATTTACCTCACTGCTTATCAAAAACAGTAAGATAAATTGCTATTTGATTTGACAACCAATTAACTTGATCTCCCTTATTTTTAAAAGAACAGCTTTTAAGAAAGAGGAACACTAAAGATTAACAAATATGTACTCCCAAATTTTTGGCTCCACTTTTAAGACAAATTTTATTGTATCCATCATTACACCATTGAAAAGACTGCAATATATCTGAAAACGGTAATAAATGATACAGAGCTATAAATACTTGTGTAGTTATCTATGCTTATTATATTGCTTTATAAAGAAAATTTAAACAAAAGAACATAGAATGGTAGAAATATAATCTACTTTATATTTACTCTATGTTCAAAAAAATCCTTTAATTATAAAAAAACTAACTAGAAATGTATTTTAAACATTTTTTAAAATTTAGAATGTGCATTTTTCAAAAGGCCTGGCTTTGCTCCAAACTGTATACATGGTTAACAGTTACAAAGAAACTATTAACATCTTAACATACATTTGGAAATTATATAAACTTAAACTCATAATTTTGTTAACATTCAATTAGAAACCTTTGTACTATCAAAATCTTATCTTCTAAGTTGTTATATTCTAAAGTTGTCTAAATTAATCTCTTTACACACTATTATGCTGTCTTTTTTAAAAAAATTTAAATTCCACTAAACAATTTTAACCAGTTTACTATCGTGTATTATAAACGATATGTATTGAGACAAAATAATGTCATCTTTATTTTCAATTTGGGAAGCAGCTAATAAGACCTCTGCTATTACTAAATTAAGTTAATCAAGAGAAAGTGTCTAAGGCAGCTGGTTGAAACAAATCTATTATTCTTCACCAAGATAATAATTTTAGTTTATATTAAACACATAAGGGCTCAAATGTGAACTATAGTCTCAGAAAATTTGAAAACCAACCACTATTTAACACTAAAGTTATCCCTGGTCAACAGAACAAGGCACTTTCTTTCATAGTTCAACATGATATAGAGGAGGGGAAAAAACTTGTTTTAGGGAAGCACGTTGTTAACAATTACATTCTAAAATGTTTACAGCTCCTTTCAATTTAGTGAATTTTATTAGATCTTCAGAAAGATACCAAAATTTTAAGTCCAAGCCTTTTCTGTCCACAAAGGCCACTTTGGAACACACTGTCTCCAAGGAGTTTCAGAACTTTTTCAAACATTTTCAGCACTTAGCATATCTCATAATTGGTACCATCATACTCTATGAATTTTTATTTCTTATATGCATATACTAACTGATTATGCCAAAAGTCTGACATTATTTGCTCCAGTATCAGGACAACAAATTAATAAACCTCTCTTTTAAAAAGTGGGTCACAGAACTGTTTTCTTTTGCTTCAATAAAGTATATTTTCAAGTCCCAAAAAGGGGAGATAAACAAGCCAGAATCCATCACCAAACTTTTTAACTCACAACATTGAAAGGATGAATACTTCTCAAGTGAGACGATTAATATGAAAGACTGAGACAAACCATCCTAAGTATTTACCATGAAGAAATAGAAATAGCAAAATAAGTAAAAAGAAAAAAATACGATTTTATAAAACGTATGTGTTCAACTCTTTAAGGAGGAATGAACATTTTTAGATGTAAGTAACTATTTTGAAATACACACAATAGACACTTACAACAAGGGGGTGGGAGCTTATCATTAAGGTTTGCCAAGGTTTTATATCATTTAAGACAAGTTAATATATTGAATATTAAATGGGCTACTGTTGAAATTATTAGAGAAAAAACGTTAGAGGCAAAAAAAATTAAACTAGTGATTTATGCCAAACACACAGAAAACCTGCATGCCATGTGGAATTGTGGATTTTACATGTAAAAGACAACTAAGCAAATGGCATACAAACTCCAAAATATTTCAATGTTTAAATTTCTCCCATATCTTTATTTTGTATGATTGCTTTTCCTGACCACTTTAAAAGAAAGTAGTTGCTTAAGTAGTAAAAACTACAAAAGATTTTCTTTAAATAAAATTATTAATAAATTCTTTGGAGGGGAAACTACATCTAGTTGATAAGGCTACTTTGCTATTTTTATCTGTTCTCCTATAATTCATAATAAAGTTACGAATGCATATGACTAAACTTTATAGACAACAGCAGCATTTAAGCTTCTAAGGGCCTGATGGATTCATGGTGATTCTTTATTTCCCACATTTCACGTGGCAGGAAATATTCCCAGTTGTCATTCATCTGTCTTGAAGCACTGTCCTCACTACAAAGTAACATCAACTCTCCTTGTTCCTGTACTCGCCTGAGCATTAATGACTATTTTATTCCCTAAAAGCGAACGCACGTGAACTTCATCCCTACAACAGACACTCCGAGGCAAGGCAAAAGAGTTAAATCACTAAAAAGCTCTCTAGGAAAATCTAGAAACAGTTAGCTGGCTGTGACATAAACCTGCCAACACCTCAGCACACAGTGGCAAAATGCCCAAAAAATGCCACCCTCTGGGTAAAACCACTTTCTTGTTTTAACTGGAGATGAAGCTACCAGTTGCAGATGAGAGGCGACGGGGGCATTATTTGGCAACCTGGAATTCACTTCCTGTAATCCTACACCGCGACAGCGCCTAATCAACCTGAACCCTGACACCCGGGCCATTATCACTGGGCCGCGGGCTGCGCGCCTCCCTGCTCCGGGCTGTTACCTCCCACGGCCTTGGCCACGGCGCCGTTGGGCCTCCCGCGGGCTCCCATGGGGCTGCCGTTCTGCTCCAGCCGGGCCACCTTCACTGGGGGAGGCCCCTTGACGTCCGGGCTGCCGCTCCGCCGGTCGGGGCTGTCCCGCAGACACGGGCTCTCGCTCCGCCGCTCCATGCTGCTCCGACTCGGAGACAAAGTTCCCACCGGCAGGTCGCAATAAAACGCACAGGGACCTAGGGAGGGGGTGGGGGGAGGAAGGGGGAGGGAGAAAAAAGAGGGAAAACCGCTCATACACGTGATAGACGTTCAGGCCAGTGGCAGAGCGCTGCACCACAGCCACACAAACTTCCTCCCACGCTGCCCGAGGGGCCCGAGCCGGGAAGCCGGTCCCAACCTTACACTGGGCGGCCCCCAGGAAGCCCAGCGCCTCGGTTCGGCGACTCTGCCCAGTCGCAGCTCCCCAGAAGTCAGCCCTCGGGGTCGCGGCCGGGGTTGGCACCCAGGGGCGCCTAGAAGTGGTCCATTCATTGGGACGGGGTTGGCATAAACCGTTCCTGGGTGCTACAGCCTAGCCCGTCCCGGGGTCAGGGTTGCGGAATAAGTGAACTTCAGAAAAAGACGTTCCACCCACATGGGAAGGGAGTTGGGGGTGTGCGCAAGTCCATAACCGAATTAACCACCCGGTAAATGCGCTGTGAATGGCCAGGCAGGAGCCAAAGGCCGGGCGAAAGAACCCCTTGAATACCCGCTTTTTACCTATACGGAGCAAGTCCTGAGATAAGCACACACCTGCATAAAATCAACCCTAATTCCACATTAATAAGCATCCGAAAACACTTGGAGGTATTTATCAGAATAACCTCCATCACAAAGGCGGGCGCTACAATCGTTATTATTTTGGAGCGTTCTTATCTTCATCTGATCCCCAGTGCTTTTTTAAAGCTCTTCAATATAAAACACAAAAGCAAAAAGCATTTGAATTCTTAGTGCAAGAGCAGCCTTCATCCGCCCCAATTTTAACATCGCTCCAGAAAGTTTTCCTCTGGGTCACTAGGTTGGCAGTGCGCTCCCCACGGAAGCCGCAGGTCTCGACACCCCTGGATTGGGGGGGTGGGGGGGGGCGGGGAAGGAGGGGAAACACCTGATGAAACGGCGCTCGCGTTGTCACTGACACCCGCAAGAAGCAAGACCCCGGCACCGTACTGCGTGCGCGCTGGGAATCCTCGTGGGCGCTCTGGCCGCGCGAGCAGTGTCGGCGCCACGGGTCAAGGAGACAAGGTGGGGGTGGCAGGGGGAGGTGAAAGGAAGGATGCGAGATGAAGACACGGAGCAGGAGGGCTGAGGGCGAGGCTTCCGCCTGCATTCCCCGACTTCGCGGTCCGAGAGGCCGAGAGCGGCGGGGAGGGGACTTCGTTGGCCCTGGGCTTCCCCGAACTCCCGAGCGCGGCGCGGGAGCCCTCGCCCTGCGTACTTACTGCTCACGGTCTGTCTGAAACTTGGCTGACTGGGGCTCTGTCCATGGAGCAAAAGTAGAGAATCCAGGGTGGAAAGTTTCTGGTGCTTGGCTTTGCAGTGTTCTCCTAGTCTTCCTCTTTACTCCTTCCCCTTCCCTCTTCCCCAGGTCCTAATGTTTAAGGTCCTGGGTCAGGGTGTCTTCTTCTGGTGCGGAGATGGTTGTTATGATGATGATGGGGGGAGGGAGGAGGGGGAGGAGGAGGAGAGGGAAAGGACTCCTCCAAAGGGACACCCGAGCGAGCGGGGGAGGGGACGGCGGAGGAGGGGGGAAGAGAAGGAGGCTGAAAGAGCCTTTTCACACCTTCGGGAAGGAGACCCGTTCTGGAGAGAAAGGGCTGAGAACCCGGAGGCGGCGGCGGCGGCGGCGAGCCGGGGCTGCTGGTTCGCAGGGCGGCTAGCTCGCGAGGAGGCGCGGCCAGAGCGGTGGGACCGGTAACACCAAGAGCCGAGAAGACGCAGGGACCCGGGACCGCGCGCGGGAGGAAACGCGGCGGCCGCCCAAGCTGTCACCTCCAGCCTCTCCCCTCTCGGCCGCCTCTGCCAGCAGCCAGAGCCGGACTCACTGACAAGCCGCAGAGAGAGACACACTGAGAGGGAGATGATTATTAGTTGCGTTGAGTCATCAGGCAAAGTGAGTCCTTTTGGGTTGTCCTCGGTTTCCGATTTCTCCCCCTCCCCCTTTCGGTCCCCAGATCTAGCGCCTTCAAAATAATAATTTGGGGTGGGGGTAGGGGAAGTCTCTGGATTATTTCGGGATGGGGGTGGGGGGGATGGATCTAAACCCAAGCCAGACTGGTCCACCGCAAGAAAAGAGGGGAGTGGGGGGCGGGGAGGAGGGCTGGGGAGGTTGCGGGGGGAGGGGGGCCCCGCCTGGCAGGAAATTAAACATCAATCAATCAATCGCTGTGAGCACGGCGACCCAACGGCGGCGGGGCTGCGAAGGAGGCAGAGGGACAGGCGAGGGGCGGGTGGGAGGCAGGGAGGAGGGAAGAGGAAGGGGAGAGTCGGCGGTCGGAGCGGGGTGACGAGGACCTCATGCACGAGGCGGCGAAGGACCGATGGCAGAGAACCGAGTGCGGCGCGAGGCGGTGGCCGCGGCCAGCGGGTGGGTGCGTCTGGGCGCAGGCGGGCACCGGGGCCCAGGGTCTGGTCCTCCTCCTTGTGGCGGGTCCAGGGCGCGGCCGCCTCGCCCAGCCCCTAGGCGCACTCGTCCCGGCGCGGAGGCGGCGGCGACAAGGCAGTCGCTGGGTGCCGCGTCTGCCGGCGGAGACGCAGACCGACGCGCAAGAGGCGACCGCGGCTGCCTCGGCTCCCAGCTCTGTTAACTGCGCGGAGTACTTTCGACTTTGGAGATAGGAGGGCGATCGCCTCCCCCACCCACCGCCTCCGCCCACCACCCACCGCCTCCGCCCCTCCGAGCAACTTTTCCCGGTGCCTGCGAGCTCCCCCTCCGCGCCGAGCCGAACGTCCCGGCCCGCCGCGCTTCGTGCCGCCGCGCGCGCAGGGAAGGCCGCTTCTCCTTCAAAGCTGGCACGGCCGCGAGTCCGGAACAATAGTCGGGGTGTCCCGAATGCCAGGAGCACGGCCACTGCCCGCCGGGCTGTGGGTGGCACAGGAATGGGGGTTGCGTGGTGGATGCAGAGCGGGGTGCATCCCTGGATGGCATCGCTGGAGCGCTCGCCGCTCCGGCGACATCGCGAGCGGTGCAAACCGGGCCGCCTGGAGCCCGTGACGCGGTGGCGGCGAGGGCGGTGGGGCTGCCTGTCCTCGGGCTACAGGACTGGGGCTCCTGGGGACCCCAAGCTGCTCGAGCCCAGGGCTGCTGGCGCCAACAGAGCTGTGCCCTGAGGACCCGGCCTCCCCGCCCGGGGGGAGGCCGCACAGGAGCGTCCCCAGCAGGTCCCGCGAAGGCGTAACAGAGCCACAAACTTTTGCCGACTCCCGCGGCCGCGGCCGCCGGCAGCCCGACTCCGGCCGCGGTGCTCATTTAAGGTGGCGCGGGCACTAGCCGAGCAGGCTGGCCTCTGGCCGCGCTTTTGTCCCTGCGATTCCGCTTGGGCGCGCTGCCTCCTTAAGGAAAAGCACGTGGGCAGGGGCCGCAGCCCCCGCGAGATACCCGGGGCGTCGGCGGACATTAGCCGCTAGGACCTTAGGCGAGAAAATGTGGACGCATCCCCGCCGGCCCTGAGGCCAGAGAATCCCCCCTCAACTGGTTGCACCTCATGTCCCTCCCGCACACGTTGACTCTCCCTCCTAATCCCCAGGACCCCGAGGGCTCTCCCACATCTCCCGCAGCAAGAGCCACCGATCCCCCTTAAGAAGCGTTGACTGTACGGCGGCGCCAGAGGGCCAAACTAAGTTCGGTTTCGGGAAACGCTCTCGGGAGCAGTTCTGTAAATCCCTGCTGGGAGCAGAGACTGCGAAAAGCTGAGTCCGCCGATCGTGCCCGGGACAAGGCTGCCTTCCACTCGCCCTCGCCGCATCTACCTGGTAGGCGGCATGCGCACGGGCTTAGAGGCTTGAGAGCCTCTGGAAGAGAAAGGGTCCCAGGAAGGAAACCTGCCCCCGGCCTAAGTGTCGGCGCCCAGATCACCACGAACCCCGCACCTAGGCGCCGCCCACCAAGTTCCAAAGAAGTCCGAGGCGACCTGGGAGTCGGTCGGATCCCAGCCGAGAAAAGAAACAAGCAGGATAGCAATTCTTAGGGGAGCCACCCTGGGAGTTTTAGGCAGCGTTTGCCTTTCCCTGGTTTTCTTCACCAAGCCCCATCCTCCCCCCGCATACCACCCCCAGTCAAAAGAGTGGGAGAAAATGCACAGTTCGAAGTCGGTGAGAGCAAAAATGGGTCTAGTAAATCAACCCGTGGTGGTAGCTAAAAGGTTTGGGGCTGCAAAGAAACAAACTGTAAGTTTTGAGCAACAAACTTTTTCTTCAATCTGTAATATGTCGAAATGGGAAGGGGGTGTTGCAAAAGCCAACTACCACTGTCAAACTTAGCCCGTTTACAACATGGGGAAAGGCGTATTTCTTACTAATATCTCAACAACGATAACAATGCTGTATCCTTCCTTACCTTGATGTTGAACTGCGAATCCTCCTCCGGATCAATGTCCAGGAACTTAGAAGAATTGGTGATATTAGGAGTTCAGTACTTCTGGAAAAAAATGCAAATGGTTTAGCCAGGATCTTTCCTGTCTGATTCGTCACTATTATTATATCTGATGATGCGAATGGTTGGAGCGATTCAATCCTAAGTCATTAATGAGCTATTTTATAAACACCACTGTCTGAAGATCTTCATTTACATTTTGCTAAGGATCACTTCGCTAACCTCACAGGCTTGTGTCAACAGCATGATTTGCAGGACTTCAGTTACACTCTTATAAACAACACGGCTGTATTGTTAATCGGTTAATATTTTATAAAGTGTAAATATTTTATTATGTTTTGAAGGGAACTATTGATTCTAAATTATTAAACCCCTGAGAAGGACTATTTAAATGAAATATACAATTAAGTACAATTAAATGTACATTGTGGTTAGTTTGTTTTCAGATTCTGCACCCTTTTAAATTCATTGCTTTTCTCTTTACTGGAGTTTCCTCTTGTCCATTTCTGATACTGAAAAAAATCTATCATGTTAGGAAAAAGCCTAAATTATTTAAAGTTGCATTAAACTTAGAGGAAAATGTCAAATACGATTAATTATGACCAGAAATGTATTTTGGATGTTTGTAGAGTTGTATTTCATATCACATTTTACAAATTTCTTCCGATTTAAAGGAGAGTTCTAGGAAGTTTTGTGATCTATGTCCGGTGTGGGTTTTTGTCCTCTCGAGTTTTGTCTCTAATAAAGGCCTTTTTTGTTTCAAATTACATACGCTTTTTACTGCACAATTTTTGTATTGACCTTATTTCAACTGAAGCGATTATTTCCAGCAGGTTTAATTTCGACAATAAGATATATTTTAATAGTTTTACCTTTCGCTAGAATTTTGTATTGTTTAAAACAGTAAATGAATAAATTTGCTGATGATTCAAGAATATTTGTTTGGTTTCGTTTTGTATCCCTCAAAAGGTTTATTTCCAAACTTTTTAAAACAAAATCACGAGAAAAGAGTTGTTTTAATTACGTTTGATTTTTAAAAATACTTTTATCTAAAACCCATTTTGTGCATTAGGAGATAGTTTGCTTCCATGCTCAAAACATGGAGTTCACATCTGGGGGACATTTTTATCCCTCAGTTTCCTTCTAACTGACGTTTTTGTCGGGAATCTGCTCAGACTTTTCCCCTTTTCTTCACCCACCTCCCAAGTTTTCCTTATGTAATTTAGTAAAAGGCCGCCTGTTTTTCACAAACACGGATTTGTTATTTTAAAAATCAATAGATCTTTATATGCTAGTGTTAAAGGTGTATGGTTTTTCTTATTTCCATCTTCTCTCCTTTTCTCTCTGTCAGGCCTTCTTTTATGGCCTGCACTCTAATGACGTTTCTTGATTTCTCTTTGTCGACACCAAGTTTTTGTTGTGCGTGCTTTCGACCCTGGTCAACCTTCCTTCCTAGAGGCCCGCTCCGGACAGCGTAGGCCTGGGCGCCTGGGTGGAGGGTGCAGGGTGCCGGGCGCGGGACTTCGGCTCTCGCCTGGGCCATCCCGGGCTCTGAGGGCCCGGCATCCATCCCCAAGGTCCATGGCTTTCAAGTTCGGTCACCCAGGCAGAGAGACCCTGCCTTTTAAAGAGCCCTGGAAAGTTGCGCCGCGTTTTCCCTCAACCCTGGAACACGCAGGGAAAACTATGGGAATCGCCCGCGTCAAAAGCTTTCGACGGCTTCTAGGAACCCAAGCGGGCCTGCCTCTTCCCCTGGAGCTTGCCCTCCTGGGGGCGGGAGGAGGGCGGGAGGGAATCATTTCTTTCAAATGAAGCCCACGCCAGCTCTGAAGCCAATTTCCGCCGCGGACTGTCCGTGGAGAGTTGGCGACCAACACTTTCTCGGACGGCATAACCGCGAGGGGCTTAGACTGGAAATCAGATGCGCCAAGAGGACAAGAGCCAGGGGCCAGAATACCCCAGTGGGGGACGCGCCTTGGAGGACGGTTCGCCCAGGGTGGGCTTCAGCCCTTTCCCAGAGTGCTCCGGGCGTCTGGGGACTGACCGGAGCGCAGGGCGGGGGACACTTACTTCGTTATCCGCACGCCTTCCTCGTTGGCATCAGAGCCGGACAAATCCCAACCCGCGCCAGGCAAAGATAAATGACTCCTGGCTCCCCCGGCAGCTCAGGGGGTCTGGGCGGGGGCGGAGAGGGAAGGAAGCCGTCGGCCGCCGGAGGTAGAGACTGTGGAGGTCCTCCTCCCGGCCCCAAGCGAATGAGCCCCTGCGGCCCGAGCAGAGAGATACGCCTCAGAGGGACGACTGATGGGGAAGGATGGTGGGCAACGAGTCTGCGCTAGGCGGTGAGCCTAGCACCCCAGAGGCCCGAGGGTCTGGGGCTAGTGGGGCCGACCGTTCAGGAGCCGGGTGGGCGGGAAGGGAATTGCCAAGGTCGGCCCAGGAGCTGCCTCAGGCGAGGACGGGGAGCTTTCTGCACTGGGCTTCCCGGGGTAGGAGATGGGCGTCGGGTGTGGGCACTGCCTGCCCTGGGGGAAGAAAGCGAGGAGATAGGTTTCAGAGCTGGGGGAGTCGTTGGTGGGAGATCTGGTGTCCCTTCGGCGGCCGCGGGCCGGGGGACCGGGGAAGACGGAGGGTCCTGCGGCCTGGAGCACCACCCTACCACACCAGGCAACGCCCCCCGGGGCGCCCTTCATTCTTTTGCAGAGCCCAGAACTTAATAGGTGGGTCCCCTTCTGCAACCACGCTGCGAGAGAATGACTGCCCTGCTAATCTAGTTTACTTGTAGAAATCGACTGTAAACCGGGACAACAAGGCAAGGGTGGGGGAAGAAAAGGAAGCGCCGAAGGAGCCGCCGCTGCGTCCCCGCCCCCAGCTCGGAGCTGCCGGGGTTGGGGCCCCGGGTGGCGCTCCCGACCCGCCGCGTTTTCCTTAGGGAAACACCGAGTGAGGCAGAGGATCTCAGGCCCAAGGTGGCTGCGAAGAGCCCCGAGGCCTCGGCTTGGCGTCAATGTCCCGCCACCCTCGAGCCCGGGTCACTGCCCGGGTCCCGGCCCGGAGCCCCAGCGTCCTCTCCCGACAGCGCCACCGCGTGGGCTGAGGCCGAAACCTTCGGCGCCGGCTCTGCCGGTCGCGTCCCGGAGCCAACCCTTCCGCGTCGCCTGCAGTCCACGGGTTAAGGATGTGGCGGGGGATGGGCAGGTCCCTGGCCCAGGGTACCACCGGGCCACTCAACACAAAAACGCCCTGGCGCGTGCAAAATACGAACGCCCACAGTTTGTCCCAACCCCTTGAAATGAAAAGTACACCTGGAAAGCCCAAGATAGCACCCGGTCCGCACCCCAAATTTCAGGCAGGCCAGCAGGCGTCCAGAAATCCGCTCCCACCCCTCGTAGGGGCAGGCAAGCTCAGGCAGCCGGGTGCAAGGGGGCCCAAACCGCAGTTGCCTCCCGAACGCTTTGAGGCTATGGGCCCACGCCGGTCTTGAACCAAGCGGAGAGGGCGAAAAAGCCCGCTGCGGGACCCACGGTCCCAGACACCTACTGGAGCCAGGGACGAGGGGGGCAGTGTATCCGGCGGCCCAAACTCGTAAGGAGTGGGGGCCAACTTAGAGGGCTTCCCGAGCTGGCGCCTCGCCTGTTTTCTCGGTATCACGAATCCCCTCGGACACCGTTTCAGTCCGTCAAGACCTTGGCCTCCGGGAAAGGCCCAAGTGACTGTGACGGCGGCGACTCGGGCTCAGTTCTCCCCCACCCCGTGGTGCCTTCCCTCCCCGCCCTACAGCCAAGCCCAGAGGAACAGGGCATCGCCTCGCGCGGTCCCGGAGCCACATCCGGACTTGGGAACCCCGTGTCGGGCTTAGAGGACTTCACTGGGCGGGTTGGGGTTTATTTTCAATAAATTCAGCTGTTCACATACACCCCCACCACCATTTCCACGCGCGCGCGCGCACACACACACACACACACACAGAGGGACTTGTCAACTATTGAGACAGCGACCCAGAAAGGTGTAAATTCACCTGGTGCCCACCCAATTGCAAAGCTCCCAGACCCACACAAAACACTAGCGAGCCCTGGAGGTCTGAGACGCCCCGCGCCCGACTCACGGCGCGAACACCAGCGCTCCGGCCGGGTCGCAGGGGCCGGTGCCCAGCGGGCCGGGGTCTGGCGAGCCAGGCAGCGGGCCGGCTGAGCTCCTGCGCCCCGCGGTCGCGTGGCCTACTCGCCTACTCCCTTATTATTGGCTGGGACCTGTTCCTTTCCAAAGTGTGATGCCCGGTGTCCTACCCTAGGCCACGCGGAGCTCTCTCCCGGCGTGTCGGGCCCTGCGCCCCTGCCCAGTGGCTCACCTCGGCTCGCTGCGCCCGCCTTCGCCCCAAGTGCCCAGGACGGAGCGAGGGGCTGTGGGTCGGCGCAGGGACGCTGGCTGCTCACCTCCAGGAGCCGACAGAAGGTGCCTTCGGCGTCACGCGTCCAACCCTGGGGCTGATTTAAATAACTAATAAGCTCAGAGAAATTTTACGAGGGGAACTTTTCCTTTTAGTATCAATAAAGCCTAGTAATTGGGTTTGTTGGTTACCTAAGCTCGAGTTCGACTTTCTCAGTCTCTCTCTCTCTCTCTCTTTCTCATTCAGAGGCAACGTTTTCAAAAACCGGCAATTGCGTGTGCGTTTGGGGTGTGCAAGTGTGAGTGTAGATGTGTGAAAGTTATTTGTTTCAGCAGTCCTTGTCTCGAGAGCAATCATCATTGTAGCTTTGAGTGAAGAGTTTTCAAAGGTGAACTGTTGTTATTTCTGTCAACAGAAAACTGTTGACAACCATTCAAGTCTCACAATACAAGTATAATATAAGGGAGGGTGGAATATCTAAAGACTGTCCCGTTGGATATGACAGAAAGACATCTGCAGTGTTTCCCTAATAGTTTGCATTTTAATTAACTTTCATTACATTCTGACTTCCACTCAATATCCGTTGTTTTCAGTAAAGACTTCTATATGATAAAACGTTGTAATTTTTGTTCTGGTTTTCCAATCTTCTTGAAAACCAGTTCTTAATTGTAAGGAATTTTTCCACCTGGGAACCATGCCGTAATTTAAAAATATAAAAGACCTTTCATGAACAATAACTGCAAATAACCCATTTGTTAGTGTCTGCGGAGTTGCTGGCACCTATACAAAGTCTCTGAAATATAAAGGCAATCTAAGAATGTTTCTCTCCAACCATAGTGATATATACTTTTTTCGTTTTTGTTGTGTGGAAGTTAAAAACACTTTTAAAGTTACTTTTTAGAAAAGTGTTGTGCTAAAATTTACCTGAACTTAAATTCCTTATCAATGTTAGCCTAACGAAATGAAGAGTATTTCTGAATCAGATTATTGTTAGAGTCATATGCTAAATAGTAAAGGAAAAGAAATGGGAATTAAAGTTTGCAAACCAAGACCAGGGAAAAGTCGGCTCCAGAAGTTACCAGGAACCCACCCAAACCTGTGCACTCATATCTCCTGTATTTACATATTATAGACAACTTTTCCTTTCCACTTTTAGCTAGAAAAGTGGTGGGCTCCCCTTAGTTCGTCTCGTTTTATGCTGTAAGACCCAAAGTCTGCTGAGGGCTGCCCCTGCCAGGTAACTTCCGGAGACCCGGAGTTACTTGGAGACAGACCCGGCCCTTTGCACATTCCAAGTGAAGGACGTCTCGCGCATTCTTCCCAGAGCTACCACACACCTAACCTCTTCTGGACACCCAACAGCTGGGGCACTGGAGCACCTGACCCTACTCAAGATCATCCCCCAGCCCTTGCCGGCACTTAGGGACAGCAGAATCTGAGCTGTGGGTGTACATACTCCCCATTTTCTGCTTTCCCAGAGGATCACAGACAACTTTTCTTCCCATCTGCTCCCGCTGGACTCCTATGATCACCCATCATCCCCAGTTGTTGCTATCTCTGAGCTCTTGGTGACCAGCCCTTGTCCCCCAAGCTGACCAAGTTGAGAGAGTACTTGTCCTCCCAGCACTGTCTCTCAGTATCAGGAAGTTGAGATCAGTGGCAGGGAAAGATGGAAGGATTGGCAAGGAAAGTGCAGGGCCAAGTAGAGTAGCTCAGAGCCTCAGCAATGGGCACCTGTCCTCCCCCAAACAACCTGTGGTCTCTCCGGCTCCCTGCTTTTCCACCATTGGTCCCATCCTGGGCTACCAGCCTCCACTGAGCTGCTCTGGGAACTTAGGGTGTCTCACATTACTTCCCTGCTATGGCATATTTTGGTTTCAGTTGAGCTATTTTCTGAAGATGTGGATACTCCAGTTTTATTCTTTTTCTGTCTGTGTCTCAGTACTCTTTTCCTTTTTTAAGAATGTTCCCCAAGCCTGGCTTTTGCCAGACCCTGTGCCATCTCCCCAAGCTCTATTTACAAGAACAAGAAGTGATTTGTCTGTTTATAGCAGGTTTAATTAAGACAGTTATGCGCCGTGAACTCTTTGGGCCTCAATCAATGCACTTAGATTTGGAAACTCAGATAGAATCACATCTTACACGTGCGGCCCCGGCTGGCCGCCCAGGCTGAGGACAGAGCTATTGTTTTCTACATCAGCCTCACTGGAACTGGGCAAGTCCCCTGCAGAACTGGCACCCCCTGCTCCTCCCAAGAGACCTCAAGTCAGGTCTCCCGGCCAGACTCAGGCCTTTCTAATACAGGCGTGAAGGGCGGGACGCCCAGAGCCCTCTTGTTGGCCGGTGGCTAAGGAGCCAGGTGGATAACTTCTGCGGATTCGGCTTTCAGGCTGCTGGAGCTCTCCCCAGCCCGAGGCCTTAGCCCAGCGCAATCCCTTGTCCAGACCGGCCAGTTTCCGCGTGGCGAAAAAGGGGGAGGCAAGTGTGTCTTTTCCAAGGAGCTTTTATCCAACAGCCTCCCCTCCCCCCAACTCTCAGCCTTAGGTGCCGGGCTTCAGCCGAAGCGTTTTTCAAATTTGTCATCATTGGAAACCTCGGACAAGTGGAGTGTAAAATTTTGAGGGTTTCCAGGTAGGCTCTGACTTCAGGCATTCAATGAAAGGGGAAGAGGGCTGAGGGCGGGGGAGAGAGACAAGCACAGAGGGCTCCCTGTAGTCGGCAGGAATTCCCTCCCTCTGCAGCCCAGCTGCACCCACTAGCACACACTAGTCTTGCCTTCTCCCGGCTTTGGAAGAATCCCCACCACATTCTTTAGCTCTCAGAAAGGAGAGGGCAGTCAGGTCAAGGTCTTTCAGCATCCCTACCGCAATATACCCCTCCCAGCCCCCTCACCACCACCACGTTGGCCTAGGACACAGGACCCCGGGGCCAGGGCCTCAGTGACTGCAGCTTATGCCACCTAATGCAGAATGGGGTGTCCCTGCCTCCACTGCTCCTCTCGGTCTCAGCATCCAGGTCCTGAAACCCCTGCGATTCTGGCCTGGGAAGCCAGACTTGCCACCAACATCATGGTATCACCCATAATTGATCCACTCAGTTTTCAGTAGATGTGGAATCCAACAAGAGTAACACCACCCTCCACGCCCCACTCTTTTTTCTTTCTTTCTTTCTTTCTTTTTCTTTCTCTCTCTCTCTCTCTTTTTTTTTTTTAAGAATCCAAGGCACTTGAAACATTCTGAGTGTGCCTGCAGTAGGGTCTCAGAGGAGTTGCTCTGAAAGCTGTTGAGAGCAGCCACCTTTGCTGTCACTGAGAGCTTGGCAGGGTCAGCTCTGGTGGGCCGTTTGCACCCAGGCTCTGATGGCACCAGGATGGCTTCCTGCAACCCGGTAGGAGGACTGGGGTGGGTGGGTCCAGTATTTCGTTTCTTCCTCTTCCTTTTTTTTTTTTTAATGTCCCTCTTTATTTCTATTGAAGACTAACCTCAGTATCAAAGGGTGCACTTGTTTGTCCTAAATGGCTTGTAGCTCTTTCCTACTCTGCCACAGGACATTAGCTCTGGGAGCACCGCCTGGCAGGGCCTTCGCTTTGGGCCTAAGCATCCAACTGAGGCCCAGCAATTCCACCTGTGGGGAATCTTGCAGTGAGGTATTTGTGCATCAGGAGTGGGGAGTGAGGGAGAGAGAGCTGGGCTGGTGCAGTATCCACTCTCGCACCTCCTCCCTGAGCGGAGCTCCAGTATAGACTAAGTGAATGAATCCATGAATCAGCTCCATAGCCGAGGGGTAGAAGAAGCAGCCGTCTTCGTTAAATGGGCTGTTGGCAGTTGCGGCTGACTGCTCTACCCCTCGCAGGCCCGCCTCTGGGCAGGCCTGAGGTGGCCCTGGAGCCCCGCCAGCAGCCCCCGCCCCTCAGGCCAAGCTCTGGCCCTGGCAATCTCTGCACTTTGTCATCACGCCCGAGTATTTGACATTCGCAATTATCTGCAAATACCCTGATCAGTTTGTATATGAAACACTTTTTTTCCTGCCTTAAGGTTGGAATCTGGTAAGTTTCAGACAAGTGGTTGCAGGGGGAGATGACCCAGGGGACCGTGCGGGACAGGGCCGGTGAACCCGATTCCGCGAGGCGGGCGTCTCGAAGGGACTGGTCTGCGTGCCTCACCGGGTTCCCCAGCCTGGCTCCGAGGAAAGGCCGCGCGGAGGCGAGAAAGGGCCCACATCTCGAGTCTCCAGTCTCTCCTTGAAAAGAGCACCCCCTAATCCCGGAGGAAGGGAGGGTGAAGGAGGAGGGGAGAGCCCACTACAGGCAAGGCAGGAAGGTTAATCATTTTGTTAACCGGAAAGGGTGCTGCCCCGCCTGGCCGTCGTCACCGAGCGTGTCAGTCACCCGCTCTCGATTTCGCCGCAGAATTACCTGCTCAAAGAGCCACCCCAAGAAGCCCTCAGCTCCGAGGTCTTCCCGCCCGTCGTCTGCGGGAAGTAAACGGCGTCCTCCCTCCAAAGAAGTGGATGCCCCTTCGACTCTCCTCCGCCCCCCGGCGGTTCCTAAATCTAGGAAAGCCAGCCCCGGCATCGCTCACTACTCCTGCACCTCAGCTCTGGGATACCCGCTCAGTACAGACAGACCATCAACCAAAAAAGAAAAGAAGAAAAGAAAAGTGGTGGTGGGGGTGGGGGTGGGCAGGGAGCGTAAAGTAGCGAGATCACTTATTTGACTCTTCTGTTTTCTTAGGAACCTGATCCTGGCCCCCGGCAGAGCATAAGGGCCCGAGGCCAGGGACCTAGAGGCCGGACCAAGTTCGCGCGAGGTGTTCACAGCCTAGGCGCCCCGGGCTTGGCTTCGTACTCTGCAACAAGCCAAGCTCCCTTGCCACGAGTATATCAGCAACTTCAGAAATAAACACCAGCGAAACCCCTTCCCACATTAGCTTGTTGCTGTGCTACTGACACTGGGCTTAGTCGATGTTCACACCTATTACATTTTTCCGGAAAGTGGGAGGAGCAGGGGGTAGAGAAAGCTGTGTGTATTGAGGGAAGGGGAGATGTGTGCAACACCTTCCAGAAAAATGGGGAGGTAGTTTAGAAAGTTTTTCTCTGTAACAGCACAGCTTCTGAGAAGGCAGAGAGAAGAAAGCAGACAGGAAACGAATCCCTTCCTCCTCTCCCCTTTACCCCCTTCCTTCACTCCCTAGACCAAGCTGGTCACCCGGCTGGGAATCAAGATTGTGTGGCTGGGAAGACACCAGTCTCTGTGCTCGGGTTCAGCCCAGTCGGGCAAGAAAGTCTGGGCAGCTGGAGAAGGTCGTCACAGTCTCCCGTGGAATCTTGTTGCCTGAGAGCCCCATAACGGAAAGGGCTAAGACGACTCTTCCACACACAGGTCGCAGCCCCTGCCGCGGAGGATCCCCAGGAAGATGCTGGGGACGCTCTGAGCATCGGCCTTTCTTTACCCCCGACTCCCTGGAGCTTGGTCTCGGGATGCCAACTTGGGGCACGGAGGCGACGGGCTGCTCCGAAGCTGGAGGGTTTCTGCTTGGGTCAGAGGGATCACGACCTCAGCAGAGCCAGGAGAGGTTGGGTGACACCCACTGCGTATTGCACTTGACTCAAAACTGCCCTCGGCCTGCGGAAGAGGCGAGGGCAAGAAGCCTGGTGGCGGGTCAAACCTTCACCCTATTATTTTCTATCATTTTTTATGCCCATATATTTGTTAAATGTATGGCTGCTATACACCAACAGCTTATTCTACAAGAAGTGCCCCCGAGGAGGATTGGGTTAAGCTTTGCAAATTTGGCTTCCCAGGTAATGCGCTTCATTATTCTGCTCCCGACTTACCCACCACACCAGTGGGTACCCGGAGCAGCACCCACTTGGCAGAACTGATGACTGCTTGGGCCCAGCGGAGTGCGCATTGCGCTAACACGCGCACGGGAATTGCACCCTTGCCGGAGCCTCCGCACCGTGCGCCCTTCAAAGAGCTGGCGACCCCGCTCACGTGTAAGCAACCTCCCACTTTGAAACTAATTCGCACCCGGGTCTTTCACCCCAAAGGACTTTGCTGCGGACGCTGCTCTGACCCAAGACGCGGGAGAGAAGTCCCAAAGGCTACAGCCAGGGGCTGGGGGACTCCTCTGCTCACCTTAGTCCTTGATTTCGAAGGCCCCAATTAACTATCTGTTGTGTCAGAATCGGCGAGTGCAAAGTAGCTGCGCCCCGCTGACGCGCTCTCTCCTGGGTCCGGGTATCCCAGGGCATCCGGAGCTGGGGAGGGTTGTGCGGACTACCCAAGGCACGCGCAGATACCGGGCAGGGAAGAAGGGCTCCGTGTTCCAAGGATGGTCGTTTACCTCTCCTGAGATCAGCCCTAATCCCTTGGTAACTTAAGCGCCTCTGAACTCGGGGAGCGCTTGGTGGGGCGCCTCCCTGCATCCACCCCTACCCCTGGCTCCTTCCCAGGCCCAGCATCTTTCCCACCATTCTCACCCCCACCACCCCCACGGCCCCGCCCGTTTAGAGGCGTGCGGTGGGCACTTGGTTTACAGAACCGGCGTTTCAGATGTTTATTTGCAACTAATTTCTTGTGCTGGAAAATGCTTGTTACCCGGGCGGAGCGCTTCCGCTCTGCGCGGTCCGGCCCGGCGGGCGGTAGCTCGCTGATCCCTCCGGCGAAGCCTCCAAGGAGCGGGCGGCTGGGAGAGGTTGTGCCACCCGGGACCAAGCCATCGGCGCTGCTCCGGACTCCCGGTAGGGGGAGCCGCCGCGGGCGCCAGGCCGGATTGTGTTCTGGCCTCGGGGCGGCCCTGCTGCCAGCGGCCGGGACTCTCAGCACAGAGCTCGGGAGGACTCCACCTGCTCTCCAGATAAGGCGCCATGAGCAGAGAAGGGAACAGACGGCCAAGCTCCCTCCTAATTCCCCGTTGTTGCAGAGCAAAGAAGATGGGGGAGAACTAATTATATTCTCTAGGTCTAAATATTGTTGAAAAATTTGTAGGTGAGATCACCTCCTTTGCCCATATCCATATATAATATATCCATTACATGTGTTTGCCCATATATATACGTATGCCATATGTAAATATGTACGAGTGTGTATGTATGTGTATAGCAGTGGTTTAGAATTAGTCTCAGTTCCACAAATTTTGAGCCCTTTTAATATTTTAGGTGACCTAATACCTTCTCACTGTATTTTCCAAGTCACTTATTTCCAAGAGTTTTAGGTGATCCCAGCATAGGAGCTGAGCATAGGAGCTCAGATGAGACTTGCCAGTTTTGCTGCAGTAATGTCAGCAAAAGAGTCTCTCTCTTTCTGACTCTATAGACTTAAGTAAGGGTTTACAGGCTTTCATTTTAAGGTATGACTGATATTTAGAGAACAAGACTAAACCAAGGTCAAGGGGAAAACAGTTAGACTGTGAACCTGCAGACCACTCCACTGCACCCAGTGTGGCCGTACACCTGTGCTGAACGGCCAGAGACTTCCTGGTCAATACTCCCACAGATAAAAGACTGCAGGATCTGCTTATACACAAATCCATCTTTCGCTGGGAACCCACAACTCATAACAACTCTCCTAATGCCAAGTCATCAAGGCCTCTTGAAAGAGAATCATAAAAAACAAAGAATTTCAAACTTGGAAGGAAACCTAAAGTTTACTGGTGAGGAGCTTGAACTGAGTAGAAGCAAAGAATCATACTCCAGATGAGAAACGCCCCATGCACTGAGCTGAGACTGGAACTCTCCTCTTCTTACTCTCAGTCCAGTAAGTTTGACTACAGAGCACTCATTATCATTGTGATTATTATGTTCCCGCATATTTTGTCGTTCTTAGTTAGGCATACTCCTTTAACACTATTGTAATAAAAGCAAAATCTGGAAGATCTTTAAGAGTGTAGCAGTTGCTTCCAAGGGAGGCTGAATTTTAGGAATGAAGTTACATATAACATTGACATATCTGGGGGAAAGACTAGAAAAATATAGTTTCATTGCTTTTTTGTGTGTTTTTGTTCTTGTTTGAGACGGAGTGTCACTCTGTCACCCAGGCTGGAGTGCAGTTGTGCTATCTTGGCTCACTGCAACCTCTGCCTCCTGGGTTCAAGCGATTCTCCTGCCTCAGCCTCCTAAGTAGCTGGGACTACAGACGCCTGCCACCATGCCCAGCTAATTTTTGTATTTTTAGTAGAGATGGAGTTTCACCATATTGGCCAGGCTGGTCTCGAACTCCTGACCTCAGGTGATCCACCTGCCTCGACCTCTGAAAGTGTGGGATTAGAGGCGTGAGCCACCATGCCTGGCCAGTTTTATTGTTTTATCCCTGTTTAATAATGTTGGATATATGAGGCCAGGCACAGTGGCTCACGTCTATAATCCCTGCACTTTGGGAGGCCAAGGCAGGTGGATCACTTGAGGCCAGGAGTTTAAGACAAGCTGGCCAACATGGTGAAACCCCGTCTCTGTCTCTGCCAAAAATACAAAAATTAGCCAGGCGTGGTGGGGGGCACCTGCAATCCCAGCTACTCAGGAGGTTGTGGCAGAAGAATTGCTTGAAGGGGGAGGTTGCAATTAGATTGTGCCACTGCACTCCAGTCTAGGCAATAGAGCAAGATCCTGTCTCAAAGCAAAACAAAAAATATTGGATATATGCAAATATGTGATTAAATGAATGAATATACAAACAAAACAATGAAAAAGGTGGGATTGTTGGTATTATAAAAGCATTCTCCCAAGTTGTGTATTTTTTCTCCAAAAACCAGACCTAACTTAGTCCTTAATTTAAGTGTTTGTTTATAGATTTTTAAATATCACATTTTGGTGTCATTTTTAAGAACCAACAGGAAGGAATTTCTAAAATAAGATTTGAAAAAAAAATCTAATAAAAAATTGATTTAGCAAAAGTAGGGAAATTTTTTTGAATGGAATATTATAGGATAAGCCCAAAATATACCACCCACTGACTTTATCATAAATCCTGGGATATAAATGATATTTTATCATCCTTTCTATAATTATCCCCTTTTTGTTTTTTGATAGGATCAAAACAAAAATTACTATTTACAAGGTCAATTCACTATTCCTTTTTGTATTCTTGTTCACAAAGGCAGAGATACATTAACAAATGAAAGTGTCTCAGTCTTTTTCCGTAACTAATGTCCAATCTTTAGCAAATGGTGCTGTGATGTCATTGAAATGGGTATTGGACAAAGTACCAATTGATTTATTGATTTCCCTTCTTCAAAGTCGTTTGGGAATTGAGGAGAAGAATGAAAGGCATAGGCTGGCTGAGATGTGCAATACTTATTCTATCACACGCAGACACACAAAAATTACATTTGGCTGATAAAATTGACAATTCAGAAGCATTGCTTACAGAAATTCATAATGAGATGACTTTGAGGCCACTCAGTTGATCAACCTGCCTTTTCTTCTCCTTATCATTTTATTTACTCTTCCAATTTAAGCCTTTTAGAAGTCAAAGAGCAGCAGGTTTTCAGTTAGCCTACAAGGGGAGCGTGAGGAAAAGAGGAACATCACAGGAAAGTAAGTGGTGTATGTACTGTTGCTTTCAAACACAGGACCCCATAAACTCTGCTCTGGGGTCCTATAAGCACAGTAGTATCTCTAAGACTGACGCTTGCTGGGAATCTCACAAGGGGTCTTCTGTGGTCCATGGACTGGTATGACTTCTCACCTTGGGTGGGGCAGGGAGTCTCTGAGAGTGTCCTGTGGGCTAAACCTGTGATGGTTCACAGCAGACCCATGACAATAAAGAAAGTAAGGCTGCTCTGATTGTCTTAGGTTTTTTAGGAGAGGGTTTCAAAGCAGGGCTCCTTTCAGCCTCAATCACTGAACCGGTTTTTGAGAAGAAAGGCTTTTAATCCAAGTCCTGTTAAAAATGCCAACTAAACTGCCTGGAGAAACTCCACATTGTAACATCTGCCTAGGAATTACCACACACAACAGTATCTACAGCGAAGCAGAAAATATATGAATAAAAACAAACCTCGGACTTCCTCTCCCTTGTATGGGTGAGCTGCCTTGAGTAACAGGGAAGATTTACTGTAATGCACAATTGCATGCTAGCTACTTTGTTTTTCCTGCTTCCTTTCCCCGCTTCAAGAAGAATGGAATATTTTTGTCTTCCAAGCTTTCTATCCATTTATATCAATTCTCTAGGCTTAGCACCATCATTTAGAAAATCCCTGCTCAGCCAGGTGTGGTGGCTCATGCCTGTAATTCTAGCATTTTGGGAAGCTGAGGCGGGTGGATCACCTAAGGTCAGGAATTCGAGACCAGTCTGGTCAACCTAGTGCAACCCAGTCTCTACTAAAAATACAAAAAATTAGCCGGGCGTGGTGGTGGGCAACTGTAATCCCAGCTACTCGGGAGAATCTCTTGAACCGAGGAGGCAGAGGTTGCAGTGAGCCAAGATTGCGCCATTGCACTCCAGCCTGGGCAACAAGAGTGAAACTCTGTCTCAATTAAAAAAAAAGAAAAAAAGAAAATCCCTGCTTACCAATGATGCTTGACTTTTCTATGCTTGTGTGTGCTGGAGTAGGGGGAAGGGTATGGTGAAGAGAGGTTCTCCCCTCCTCAGAGCATATGGTTCATTTTGCCCACTCTTGAGCCTGGATTGTAGGCTCTTGCTATCCGAGGAGAAACTAGACGGGGAATGCCCTGGAAGAATGATCTGGAACACTGCCTACCTACCCCCAATACATCCCTCCCCAGCCCCTCTCCACTGCCCAATCCTCCCTTCCCAGGCTGGTGTTGAAAATGTTGGATAGGGAAGTGTGATGGAGAAAGAAGAACTGTGCCCACCTTTAAGAAGGTTATGTGGAGCTGATGAAAGAAATGACTCTCTTTTTAAAAGACTGCTTTCATTTAGGCCAGGTGCAGTGGCTTATACCTATAATCCCAGCACTTTGGGAGGCCAAGGTGGGAGGATCACTTGAGGCCAGAATTTTCAGACCAGCCTGGCCAACATGGTGAGACCCCATCTCCACTAAAAATACAAAAATTAGCCGGGCATAGTGGCACATGCCTGTAATCCCAGCTACTTGGGAGGCTGAGGCATGAGAATCACTTTACCGGGGAGGCGGAGGTTGCAGTGAGCCAAGATCATGCCACTGCACTCCAGCCTGGGTGACAGAGCAAGACTCTGTCTCAAAAAAAAAAATTATTTAAACAATAGTATCCATCTTCCCACAATTACTATTAAAGATTCTTAAAATTTCTGGAAATATTGAAGGAAACGAATTATGCTTTAAGATTTTAAACCTACAGAGTAAGTTAATTCTGTCTTTGCCATTTACTAGCTGTGTAAACTTGGAGAGATCAGCTTGAGACTCTCTGAGCCTCATTTTTTTAATCTGTCAAATGGGTCTCAGAAAATTGTGAGGATTAAATGAAATATTACCTGTAAGTTGTTTAGAACAGTTCTTGGAACATAGTAAAAACTCAGAAAGTGTTCAGTAAAATGTTGAGTATATTATTGTGATGTGGGAATTGCTGATCCAGTTGACTCAATTCACACTGCAAATTACTGGATTTGAATAAGGAGATGAAGATTGAGTCACATTGTTCTCTTTGATCCATTTTCTTTTAGACAACATCACTCAAACAACCCTATTACTTCAGTAGCAATGAACTGTCTCTGGATTTTATTAAGCATCTCACTAGTTCCTTTTCTTCAGCTGTATGGCACCCTGTCTTCCTGTACACCAGAGGCTCCTCAGCTGGGTAAGGTGAGCCAACGTTACCAGGAGTATATGCTGAGAGGCCATTTCAAAGTCTTTCATAGAAGGCTGTGCTTGGGCAAGTAGAACTTTTCATCATACAGTCCCAGAGATGTGAAGTTATCAAGGTCAGAGAAGAGGAAAAGAGACTCAGAGAAACTGTGTTCTCTAGTCTTTCATTCGGGAACAAATGGTGTCGTACCAAATGGCTGAAAAGATCCCAGGCTTACTCTGAGAAACATCTCTCTCTTCTGAATTAAACTTGCACAGTGGCTAACAGTGTTTTGTTTGGTGTTGACAAAGTAATAAAACGTTACCGTTTCTCTTTCTCTACGATGATGTGGTTTTATGAAAGAAAATGGTTACACCTTGTTGAGTTGGGCAATATTCTCCATCCAGTTTATAAATTCCTATGCTGTTCTTACTGTAGTCAGCTTTTTCTCTGGGCTGTGCTCTTTTTGCTACACTGAGAGCCCAAGTAGCCCCAGGAGGGGGCAGTGACAAAGCTGAGATGTCCAGGAATGAGAATACCAAGTCATTCTGCCCACTTACCTGCAAGACCAAATGAAAATCCAGGGGGTTCTGCATGAAGACTCAAAAGAGCTGCCCCTCCAGCTTTTCACAAAAGCAGAACAGATTGTAGGAAGTAACAGCTAAAGGCCCACTGCCTCCGTCCTGTGGCTTTGTGTCTCTTTTCAGATGATTTCTCAAAGTCCACACACTAAGTCAAGTCCTCTGTCGGCAGGCCTACTAGTGCCTTTGACTTGAGAGGTAAATTATCAAAATGCAAAGAGTTGTCAGGCCCAAAAAGAGAATGTCAGAAGAAAAGCACCCAAGATGCTGCTCTGTCTGGTTTTCTCTTTGATTCAATGTTGTGTTCTTTGTGAACTCTGCCTCCACATTTACATTGGTTTAAAACATTCCAACAATAAAATTTCAGTGACCTTGCAGACTATGTTCCCTCCCACAAACCAAACAAAAATTGATTGCCTTTTAGCAATCAATACTCTTTGGCAGCTTAAGAGGAGATGCTGTGCTGGGAACCCTTGTCCCACTTCAGTCAGCTGGGCTGTTATAACCTAAGCAGAACCAAGGAGCCTGAGGTAGCAACTTTCTTGCTCTTTCCCTCCCCATCCTACAAAACAGCCATTCATTTTTATCACTTCTGTGGATATTTTCAGTCCTAGGAAAGGGAGACAGGACAGAAAAAGGGGATGGCTCTGGATAATAGCCACCCAACTTAATTGACTGAAAGGTGCAGGCTTCTGCTGATATTAGAGACTTCACAGATCCAATTTAATTCAACAGCTATACTGAGAAGCTACTGGTTTATTCATTTATTACTCAGCTGTCTTTTATCTTTTTTTTTTTTTTTTTCTGAGACAGAGTCTCGCTTTGTCGCCCAGGCTGGAGTGCAATAGCACGATCTCAGCTCACTGCAACCTCTGCCTCCCGGGTTCAAGTGATTCTCCTGCCTCAGCCTCCCACGTAGCTGGGATTACAGGCACCCACCACCACACCCGGCTAATTTTTGTATTTTTAGTAGAGACGGGGTTTCACCATGTTGGCCAGGCTGGTCTCGAACTCCTGACCTCAAATGATCTGCCTGCCTCAGCCTCCCAAACTTTTGGGATAACAGGCGTGAACCACTGCGCCCAGCTTGTCTTTTATCTTAAGAAATAATGAAAACAACTACAAAATTGATAGCTATGAATTTTCCTAGGCACTTTACATGTGTTATCTCACTTAATCCTCACAACAATACTATGAGTTAGGTACTATTATCATCTACATTTTCCTTCTAAAAGTGAGTTTAGAGAGGTTAGATAATTAGCACAAGGTCACACTGCTAATCAGGAATGGGACTTAACTAAGATCGGAGCTACTCATAGTTTCCTTCTATCTGGTTCTGTCATTAGTATAACAGTGAGAAGTCAAAGAAGGGTTTTTAAGTTCATGGCCTTTTCTAAAGGCACAATTTAGCAATCATTTTGAAATACCTTTGCCAGCCAGGAGCTGCCCCAGGCACATTAAAAAATACAACATTGCACCCTCTCAGGGTTTACAATCTATGGTCAACTATTATTTGGATCACATCCTGCTAGATCACACAGATAATGGACAAAATACATGAGTAAACTAAACAGAGGTTTTATAGCCATATGTACAATGACAAAAGTTCATATTTTTTGTGACTATTGCAGAGGATTAGCATATTTAAAAGTCCAGGCCATAGAGGAGGTGGGCTTTCTAACCCACTGATGAAATTTGGGAGGCCGGGCACCACAGCTCAAGCCAGTAATCCCAGCACTTTGGGAGACTACGGTGGGTGGGTTACCTGAAGTCGGGAGTTCAAGACCAGCCTGACCAATATGATGAAACCCCGTCTCTACTAAAAATACAAATTAGTTGGGTGTGGTGGCATGCGCCTGTCATCCTAGCTACTCGGGAGGCTGAGACAGGAGAATCGCTTGAACCCAGGAGGCAGAGGTTGTGGTGAGCCAAGATTGCACCATTGCACTCCAGCCTGGGAAACAAGAGTGAAACTCTGCCTCAAAAAAAAAACAAAAAAGAAAAAGAAAAAGAAATGTGAGGCCTGTTCCATGGAGAAAAAGGTACCTCCAATGCTGATGAAAATAAGACAAATGAACAGAGCTGTCCACAAATAATAGGGGAAGAAACCTGGTATAGACAATGAGGTTCACAGTTTGCTAAGGACAGAAGATGGAGCAGTGATGAGAACAGTCAACAAGAGTCACACGGAGAGTGGTTGGTTGGCAAGTTAGGGCAAAGTTGATGTTTCTCAAGGCTACACAGTCAGCTTGTTACTGACACCCAAGTCCCCCCATTAGTTTTCTATTCCTTTGTATTTATGATCACCATCCCTATAAAGTCTCCCTACAAATATTTGTGAGAAGGATGACACAGTGGTCTGACACATGTTAAGTCATCTAGCAAAGATGTAAATAAAGTTCTCAAAATATAATTATCAATGGAATATCTATTATATGTTTAGAACTATGCCAGATGGTGTGAGGAAAGCAAGGAATTTACAAGATCTCACCCTTGTCCTCAAATAACTTGGAATTTATTTAGGATACAAGATTCACACCAATAAAATAGTTGGCAACAACTAAAATGACATAATCAATTTTCCAAGGGATGTGGTACAGACATAAATAAAATGTCATAGATGTGACAGATAAGCTTAAGAATTAATATGCTCCAGACTGGGCACAGTGGCTCACACCTGTAATCCCAGCAATTTGGGAGGCTCATGCAGGCAGATCACTTGAGGTCAGGAGTTCAACACCAGCCTGGCCAACATGGTGAAACCCCATCTCTACTAAAACTACAAAAATGAGCCGGGTATTGTGACAGACACCTGTAATCCCAGCCACTCAGGAGGCTGAGACAGGAGAATTTTTTGAACCTGCGAGGTGGAGGTTGCAGGGAGCCGAGATCGTGCCAGTGCACTCTAGCCTGGGCAACAGAACAAGACTCTGTCTCAAAAAAAAAAAAAAAAAAGAAAAAATAATAATTAATATGGTCCAGGAAGGTGAGATCCGGAAAAACGGCTGTGACTTAAGTAAGCTGTGAGGGCCAGGATTGACAAGAGCAGAAGCTGGGTGCTGTAAGCAAACTATCCAGGCTTTCCTTCAGAGTCCAGGATGAAGGGCTGGGGAAGAGCACATTTGAGAGTTAGAGTAGGACTGTTTATGGAGGCTTCAAATGCTACCCAAAACATTTAGACTTGTCAGAAAAGAACCTAGAGCCAAAGTAGCTCCTGACTGTGTCTCCCATCCCCCAACTTTTGAGGCATTGAAAACTGACTTCATTTGTTCATTCTTCCAAAAGTCATACATACTTATTGTACAAGCATTTAAAAATACAGTAAGAAAAATGAAAACATCAGCTCCAACAAAAAATAAAAAAAGAAATATAATACAACTCTAATAACTACTTGGTGCATTCTGAAGTAAAGAAGGCTCACAATGAAAAGGATTTGGGGAATTATTGTGGCAATAATATGCAGCTTCGAGGAACAAAAGGTGAGTGGCAAGGAGACAAGTTACCAGCAAGATAGGCAGCAAGATAAGCCTGTGAGAATCCTGAGAGCCAGGCCCAGTAGCAGTGGGAACAGGGAGGAAAGGCTGGATCTGAGAGATCTTCAAGAGGACGGCAACACCAGGCATTCTCTTCTGATAACTGCATTGCACAGAGTCCTCCCAGCCTATTGGAGTCCTTACCCCTGGGCATAGGAATCAGAATCTTTGCCTGGGTTTACCTCTCCCATTTGTTTTCTTTCAGAGCCTGAATTACCTAGTGTCTCAGAAACTGTTCTGATCCCAGTAAAATATCCCCAAAGTATGTCCAGAGAGTACTAAAGTTCTAGAAATTACTATCTGCATAAGAGATACTGGAAACTGTTTTTCAGCTTTTCAGAAACACTTTCATGGATTCAGACTCTTGGACTGACTTCCTGAAGTCTTTCAAACTGAGCAGGTGTAGAGGGTGCTCCTGGGTTAGCTATGTGCTGGATGAGCATCTCCTTCAGGGAAGAGAATGTAGCCCCCAAATGGTCAAAACAGGATCCACATTTCGTAATTCACCACAGCACTTCAATGTTTGCTCTCTCCGTCTCCACTGGCAAATCACTTTTCTCAGTTGCTTCATGGTTCTCACACTCATTTTCCAGCTCTGTTTTGCAGTAGCAATTCTTTATCATACTCTTTGGCAGCTTAAGGGGAGATACCATGCTGGAAACCCTTGTCCCACTTCAGCCAACTGGGCTATTATAAACTAAAGCAGAACCAAGGAGCCTGAGGTAGCAACTTTCTTGCTCTTTCCCTCCCCTCCCGCAAAATAGCTATGGCAAGGACTCCAATAGGCTGGGAGGACTCTGTGCAATGCAGTTATCGGAAGAGAATGCTTGGTGTTTTTATCACTTCTGTGGATATTTTCAGTCCTAGGAAAGGGAAAAGGAGCAGAAAAAGGGGATGGCTGTCTATAACCACCAGCAACTTCTCAGTCTCTAAAATTATCTTTTTTTTTTCTTTTTTTTTTTTTTTTGAGATGGAGTCTCGCTCTGTCACCCAGGCTGGAGTGCAGTGGCGCGATCTCAGCTCACTACAACTTCTGCCTCGTGGGTTCAAGCAATTCTCCTGCCTCAGCCTCCCCGACTAGCTGGGGATTACAGGCATGTACCACCACACCCGGCTAATTTTTGTATTTTTAGTAGAGACAGGGTTTCACCATGTTGGCCGAGCTGGTCTCGAACTCCTGACCTCAGGTGATCCTCCTGCCTCGGCCTCCCAAAGTGCTGGGATTACAGGTGTGAGCCACTGTGCCCAGCCTCTACATTACTTTTGAATCACAACAAATAATGAAACTGTTTAAAGAGAAGATACTTTTCCAGGCAATGTATTTTTTGGTGTGGTGAAAAGTGAGGTGGATGGATCTTCAGAAATACATAACACCACTTATATTAAGAGTAGCTCTCATTGCTATAATAGTAAGAAGCTTGTGACCAACTTCAGGTTCTCAATATTGTTCTCAGGTCTTCATCAGGTCACATGACTTCCCAGTGGAGGAAGACTATATTTCCCAGCTCCCCTTGCAGCTAAGTGACAAGTTTTGGCCAATTAAATGATATAAGTGATGGGTGCTACTCTTAGTCTTAATTTTAAAATAAGGCCAGTACTTTGGGAGGCTGAGGTCGGTGGATCATGAGGTCAGGAGATCGAGACCATCCTGGCCAACATAGTGAAAACCCGTCTGTACTAAAAATACAAAAATTAGCTGGGCATGGTGGCGGGCAACTGTAATCCCAGCTACTCAGGAGGTCGAGGCAGGAGAATCGCTTGAACCCAGGAGACAGAGGTTGCAGTGAGCCAAGATTGCGCCACTGCACTCCAGCCTGGCAACAGAGCAAGACTCCATCTAAAACATTAAAATAAAATTAGAAAAAAAAAATCAAGCATGCACCTTCTTGAACTATTTGTCTGCCTGAAAAAAAATAACAATTTAAGAAGCCACTTTGAACGTGCGAAGAGACTCAACTGTTGTTTTTGTTGGTTTTTTTTTTTTGGTTTTTTTTTGAGATGGAGTCTTGCTGTGTCACCCAGGCTAGTTGTGTGTCCACAAATGAGAGGTTGCAGTGAGACCGACCTCAGCTCACTGCAACCTCTGCCTCCAGGTTCAAGCGATTCTCCTGCCTCAGCCTCCCGTGTAGCCGGGACTACAGGTGCCCACCAACACGCCTGGCTAATTTTTGTATTTTTAGTAGAGATGGGGTTTCACCATGTTGGCCAAGCTGGTCTCGAACTCCTGACCTCAGGTGATCCACCCTCCTCGGCCTCCCAAAGTGCTGGGGTTAGAGGCGTGAGCCACCGCGCCCGGCCAAGACTCAATCATTGAAGAAGGCAGACTGTCCCACCAGAAAAACAAGCTCCTATCCTGCTTAAGCCACTCGGCTTAGGAGTCCTTCTGTAGCCCAACTAGTTTAATCATATTTTATATGTAGGGAAATTGTGAAGTCAAATAAACCTACTGTCATTCATTCCATCATTGTATAATTCATACAGTCTTTCATGAAGATATTATAGCAGAACTAATAATAGGTATGCAGAGACTTGAGTGGGATTGAGGGAGGCCGCACGGTCTAAAAATTGAATTGTGATCTGGAAATCAGAAAAGCTGAGTTCTAATTATAATAGTAGTTATCATTTATTGAATGTTTACTATTAGTAGGTAATTTGTAAATGTTTCACATTTATTATCTCACCAAATCCTCACAGCAACCTTTAGAGGGATATACTTTCTTTTCCCATTTTACAGATGAGGAAAATGAGATCAGAAAAGTTAAATAACTTACTCAAAGTCACAGGACAAATAATTGTCAGAACCCAAATTTGAAGCCAGATCTGATTTCATCACTTGTATTCTTTTTTTTTTTTTTTTTTTTGAGACGGGGTCTCATTCTGTCACCCAGGCTGGAGTGCAAGTGGTATGATCTCTGCTCACTGCAACCTCTGCCCCCCGGGTTCATGCCATTCTCCTGCCTCAGCCTCCCAAGTAGCTTGGACTACAGTCACCCGCCACCCCCACACCCGGCTAATTTTTTGTATTTTTAGTAGAGATGGGGTTTCACTGTGTTAGCCAGGATGGTCTCGATCTCCTGACCTCATGATCTGCCCGCCTTGGCCTCCCAAAGTGCTGGAATTACAGGCATGAGCCACCGCGCCTGGACTTTAAAAAAATTTTTTTTTGAGACAGTCTTGCTCTGTCACCCAAGCTGGGGTGTGGTAGTATGTCAGCTTACTGCAGCCTCCACCTTCTGATCTCAAGTGATTCTCAGCCTGTAGTCACAGCCTGCTGAGTAGCTGTGACTACAGGCATGTGCCACCAGACCTGGCTAGTTTTTTTATTTTTAGTAGAGATGGGGTTTCATCATGTTGGCCAGGCTTGTCTTGAACTCCCGACCTCAGGTGATCTGCCCACCTCAGCCCCCCAAAGTGCTGGGATTCCAGGTGTGAGCCACCAGGCCCAGCCATCTCCTGTTTTTTGTTTTTTGTTTTTTGTTTTTTTCTTGAGACAGAGTCTCACTTTTTCACCCAGGCTAGAGTGCAGTGGCATAATCTCAGCTCACTGCATCTTCCACCTCCCAGGTTCAAGCAATTCTCCTGCCTCAGCCTCCTGAGTGTCTGGAATTACAGGTGCTCACCACCACACCCAGCTAATTTTCGTATTTTTAGTAGGCATGGGGTTTCATAATGTTGGCCAGGCTGGTCTCGAACACCTGACCTCAGGCAATCTGCCCATCTCAGCCTCCCAAAGTGCTGGGATTATAGGCGTGAGTCGCCTTGCCCAGCCCCATCACCTGTATTCTTGACCATGATATTGACACGTCCCTACTAGCTGTGTGACCTTTGGTAAGTATTCTCCCTTCCCTGGTTCTCATTTTCCTTCTTAGGAAGTGAAAGCATTTGATGGAAACATCCCTTGGGTCCACTTTGACTCTGTCACTCTGTCGAATGGTTCTAAGTTTGTCTGTGCAATGATTTGCTGGGAGCTAGGCAAGTTGCTGAACCTATTTTTACAACATATTCATGTCAGAATCATGGTAATCTCTAAATACAACACAAAAGTGTGGCCAAGAACAATTGGCATCTGTGGCATTGATGTAGAGATCATTGCTACCATTTTCCCCAGGCCTTTGATTTCCTAACTTCTCTGTCTCACATTCCCTGCTTGTTCATGGCTGCCATTTCAAGACTTAAACAAATAATGGAAACTGAGGAAATTTGCTCCGGACCATCTAACATTTCCAGATCGCACTACACCCCCCAGGTGTATCCAGGCTTCTGCTTCTATCATGGTCACCATCATCATCACTCTGCTGATGGGAAAGCTCTAACAACCATTCCTTTCTTAGGTTTCTTCCTCTTCCAGTGAACCATCTCTGCAAAGTGGACAGGTCTGGCACCCATCCTATCCTGAAGTAGGCTCCCAGCACCCTCTGCTGGGCTCTGCCTAAAGCAGAGGAACCAGCAGGGCCTTTCAGAGCAGGGAGGTTGCTGAAGGAATCAAACAGAGACAGGGACTTCAAAGCCATTCATGCTGAGTGAAGGCAGTACTCCAATTAGGCTCCTTCCCTCCATTTCCTAAAGGCAGCTTTCCAAATCTTGACATCCAAACCCTATAAATTATTTTCCTCACCCTTAAGGGGACATAATTGCTTGAATTCAGGCAACTATGGACCACTCATTCCCTGCCCCACCTCAGTCACCCTCTATGCACCAGTAGAAGCCACCAGAGACCAGAAGCCAAGGTATCCAATCAGATCTTCCATGATCCATCACTAGTTCTGTCACTTAACAGCTTTTAAATGCTGGTCAAGGCAACCTTTTTTTTGGTTTCTTAGCTATAACATATGGATAAAAATCTATACATGCCTTGTCTGCCTCACAAGATGTTGTGACAATAAAAAGTGATAATTTGCTGAAAAGGACTTTGAAAACTGTAAAGTACTATGCAAAATTCAGCTATTCCTGCTTTGATATCAATGTCTATGAGTCAAACCACAATGTCAGTTTAGAAAAACAATAAAGCAAGTTCTTACACATAAAATGTATTATCTGAAATTTTTATATCAACCAAATAAACAGAATTATCAGCTTTCCTAAGCTTGATGTGGTAACAAGCTCATATCCAACATCTCAGTAATCTACAACGTAGATTCCACATGTAGAACCTGGTATCATCTCAGAAGCTAACCCCAAGTCAAATCTAGTTAGAGTCATAGAGAGCTGCACCTCATCCCCACACCATTCTCTAGGACAGGAGTCCACACAAACGAAATCAAAGTGCTTGGGATGGGAAGACAAGCTGGAAATTCCTGTGTGTTTAGCCAGGCTGCAAACCAGACACGTTGGGGAGTTTTTGTTACTCCCCCTGCTTTGAGGCCACCCTTTTCTCATAGTGACATTCCTGCCTTTGCAGTCTCATTCGGTAGCACCTCTGCCCATGCACTGGACTTTAGCGCCCTCTAGGTGGGGGTCTGTCCTCCTAGCCACTAGAGCCATGCTGTCCAATACAAATATAATGCAACTTATGTAATTTTAAATGCTCTAGTAGCCATCTTTTAAAAATAAAATAGTAGAATTAATTTTAATAATGTATTTTATTTAGCCCAACATATCTAAAATATTTTCTTTTCTTTTTTTTTTTTTTTTTTTTTTTTTTTTGAGACGGAGTCTCGCTCTGCCGCCCAGGCTGGAGTGCAGTGGCACGATCTCAGCTCACTGCAAGCTCCGCCTCCCGGGTTCACGCCATTCTCCTGCCTCAGCCTCCCGAGTTGCTGGGACTACAGGCGCCTGCAACCACGCCCGGCTAATTTTTTGTAATTTTAGTAGAGATGGGGTTTCACTATGTTAGCCAGGACGGTCTCGATCTCCTGACCTCGTGATCCGCCCGCCTCGGCCTCCCAAAGTGCTGGGATTACAGGCATGAGCCACCGTGCCCGGCCTCTAAAATATTTTCAACATGTAATCAATACAAAACATTGTTCAGATATTTCATGTTCTTTTTTTCCCCACACTAACTCTGAAAATCAGTATGTGTTTTATATTTATAATACATTTCAGTTTTGGACTAGCTGAATTCCAAGGGCTCCAGAGCCACATGTGGCTGGGGGCTACTGGATTGGACAGCATAGCACTAAAGTAAGTCACTGCCATGCATAACAGTCTTTGCCCAGTGCCATTTTGTTTCCTAGATCCTCAAAGCCAAGTTTCCAAGGTTTCCAAACTGCTAACAAGATAACCTGAGGCTCCATGGTAATAAGAGGGAATTAGAAGAGTTAAGCCTCTCTACTCTTCCCTTTATTAACTGCCAAGCACCACACACACCCCACACACAATATGTTTGAAATATACAAGTTCCTCCCTCTTCTCCTAGAAACTTTTGTATTTCAATAGGAACTTAAACTTTTTTTTTTTTTTTTTGACAGAGCCTTGCTCTGTCACCCAGGCTGGAGTGCAGGCGGTGGCATAATCTTGGCTCACTGCAACCTCCACCTCCTCCCAGGTTCAAGTGATTTTCTTGCCTCAGCCTCCCGAGTATCTGTGACTACAGGCATGTGCAACCATGCCCAGCTAATTTTTGTATTTTTTAGTAGAGACGGGGTTTCACCATGTTGGCCAGGCTGGTCTCAAACTCCTGACCTCAGGTGATCTGCCTGCCTCAGCCTCCCAAAGTGCTGGGATTACAGGCATGAGCCACCATGCCTGGCCTGCATCTTCTTGAGTAGGGACAGTGCAGTGGCCAAGACAAGGGATAACTGCAGGATCTGGCCATTTAAGGATGACAGAGTTAGTGAATGTAATCACCTCAAGTGTTTCTTGGCTCTGAATTTAATTCAACAAGCATGTGTTGAGTACTTACCAAGTATCCTGCTAGACAGAGAAAACCCTGAAAATAGGGACCAGCTCTTCCTCATCTCCGTATGGCCAATGTCTCAACTGGTGAGTTTATACAATTTCAGCCAAAAGCAAAAGACAGTTGATGTTTTCTTTTTCTGTGCAGTTTTATTTCAGAGAAGTAAACATATGACATTTGAGAGACTTTCTCAAATGCTGAAATCCACTGGTGTACCTTTATGGCTCCCTTGGAACTCTCCTGGATGTGTGGGTGAGAACTATAGAATGAAGAACACAAGTCAACCTCCATTGTCTGGCAAAGGGAGAAACTGAAGTCACTACATCTTGGATATATCTATAAAGAGATGTTAACAATCAGGTACTTTTCATGGGGATAAGGGTAAGGAGTAGTCAGGCAATTCATATAATTTTAACAGAGTTTAGTCCACTTCACTTTTAAAGGCTCCAGGCAGAGCTCCAGGCTGCAGAAAAGGAAGACCACCAACAATCTCCAAGCAAGGGAACCTTCAGGGTTTTGTGGCCCAAATGGCCAAAGGGAATATTTGTACTCTTAGAAATGCATCTCAAGCTTTTAAGGCTTGCAAACTGCCAAACTCTGTGGATCATTTTGTAAACTACAAAATCACCAGCTTAAAAAAACAACATAATTTAGCCAGGTCAATCCATAAAGTATCCCACACAGTACTTATTACAGAGAAACCTTGAACAAAAAACTCCCTGGCCTGGGACATTTCCCAGGGAATCACAAACTTCTTTGGAAAACAGAAACGTCTGGTTGTCCCATACATGGCCCGTGTGAAGAGTGCCCAGTCAGGGATGGATGGTGTTCCAAAGGTTCCTGTGTAAGTCCATTGTTGGAAACCCTGAATGCATTTTATAAACAAATAAATTTTATAAATAAATAAATAGCTGGTCCCTATTTTCAGGGTTTTCTCTGTCTAGCAGGATACTTGGTAAGTACTCAACACGAGCTTGTTGAATTAAATTCAGAGCCAAGAAACACTTGAGGTGATTACATTCACTAATTCTGTCATCCTTCATAGAAACACTATTGTTGATTAGGCTCCCAGCCTATCCTGACAGTACTGATTAACCCAAAGTGCTGCTGAAATACAGTACTTTCATGATGAAATGTAGCAGGATGCTATGTCATTGCTAAGAATTAAGCACTAGAGGAAAACAAGTACATTAAAAAAGAGCTTGATACTCAGAATGAAAGCTGCATCAAGAGGGAGATCCTTTACATTGCCTGCCGCCTCATCCCCACAACAGGGAGCCTGTGACCCACAGCCCCTGCCCTATCAACCCACCAAATGAATTGGGTCTGTTGCCCTCTAAGTTCTCGCTGTCTTCCATGGGCTCTCTCAGAAGACTGAAGAAAGAATTTCTCCCCTAGTTTTTGCCACTGGCCACATGCAGTTCTCTCCTCAATACTGCCCCCTCCTGGGGAAGGGAGCTCCGTCCCCAAACTGTTGTCCTGGTTAAAGCTGCCTTCTTCCTAAACGAGGAGCAGAAGGCAATCCTCCTTAGAAAGACACCCAAAATAAAGAGGAGAAAAAGAAAGACCTTAAGTTATTTTTTAGGTGAATCTTTTCTCTGAATACAGTAAGGAGAAACCAAGAGGGTTGGTGTTGGTCCCTCACTTAGGGAGGAAAGCAGATTGGGGAAAGAATTAAAGAGAATTCCAACAATGAAACATTTATGAATACTAAATGTAATATTAATGAAATTGACACAATGATAAATTTTGTAGGGATTTAATAAATCTGTGTTAACTTTAGCGTTCTCTAGGTTTTATATATTGAAGGGAACAATTTTTCCAGATCTCGAACTTTTTAGCAGGCCCCAGAAAAGCTTTACTTACTTTTTTTGTTTGTTTGTTTGTTTTTATTTTGAGACAGGGTCTTGCTCTGTCACCCAGGCTGGAGTGCAGTGGTGTGCTGGCTAATTTTTAATTTTTTTGGAGAGGTGGGGTCTTGCTAGGTTGCCCAGCTTCCCAAAGAGCTTGCTCTCTCTCTCTCTCTCTCTCTCTCTCTCTCTCTCTCTCTTTCTTTCTTTCTTGAGACTGGGTCTCACTCTGTCACCCAGGCTGGAATGCAGTGACACAATTATGGCTCACTGCAGTCTTGACATTCCAGGCTCAAGTGATCCCTCCACCTCAGTTCCCCAAGTAGTTGGGACCACAGGCAGGCACCACCACACTTGGCTAATTTTTTAATTTTTTGTAGAGATGAGGTCTCCCTATGTTGCCCAGGCTGATCTCCAACTCCTGGGCTCAAGCGATTCTCCTGCCTCAGCCTCCCAAAATGCTGGTGTTACTGGCGTGAGCCACCACAACTGGCTCAGAAAAGCTTTAAAAGCTTAAAGAACTGTGCCTGTGGCCAAGTATTCCTAGCTTTCTGAGATACAGCATAATTATCAGAGGCACTGGTGGGTTTGTTTCTGGATTAATGTTAGCCTTAGGATGGATCCTGTCAAGAAATAACTTACTTTACAATTTTACAAATCTTGTTATCTGGAAGCACCGAATAAAATAGACTCGAAAACTGGCGTCTTATAGCAAAATTAAACTTTAGGCCTGTCCACCAGTTCTACTTTCAGGGATCTGTCTCAATAAATGTATACCAAAAAAGGTGTGCAAGGATATTCACTGCAGCACTGTTTATAATCTTGAAAACTTGGAAGCAACCCAAGTATCCGTCAGGAGGGGAATGATTAAATGACAAACATGTCTCTCTGCCATGGAATAGCATTCAGAAGTTTGAAAAGAAGTGGATTTATATTTACTAATGTGAAAACCTTTGAAGACAGATTTTTTTTTCTTTTTTTTTTTTTGAGACCAAGTCTCACTCTGTTGCCTAGGCTGGAGTATAGTGGCGTGATCTCAGCTCACTGCAACTTCTGCCTCCTGGGTTCAAGCGATCCTTGTGCCTCAGCCTCCTGAGAATCTAGGACTACAGGCATGCACCATCACACCCGGCTAATTTTTGTATTTTTAGTAGAGACACGGTTTCACCATGTTGGCCAGGCTGGTCTCAAACTCCTGACCTCAAGTGATCTGCCTGCCTCAGCCTCCCAAAGTGCTGGGATTACAGTTGTGAACCATCTAGCCCAGCCTAAAGACAGATTTTTAAGTGGAAAAAATGTTTCAAAATACCCTGAGCCCAAAGATAACCTATAAAACCATATCTTGTTTCTATATGAATATATATAATATTTTATAATATATTTATTTGTAACTACATAGAATAAAGACCGAAAAAAGAAAAAGATACTTTTCTTTTTTTTTTTTTTTTTTTTTGAGACTGAGTCTTGCTCTATCCCCCAGGCTGGAGTGCAGTGGTGCAATCTCAGCTCACTGCAACCTCCACCTCCCGGGTTCAAGCAATTCTCCTGCCTCAGCCTCCCGACTAGCTAGGATTATAGGCACCCACCACCACGCCCAGCTAATTTTTATATTTTTAGAAGAGATGGGGTTTCACCATGTTGGCCAGGCTGGTCTCGAACTCCTGACCTCAGGTGATCCATCCGCCTCGGCCTCCCAGAGTGCTAGGATTACAGGTTTGAGCCACTGTACCTGGCCAAAAAGATAGAAAGAGTGGATTTTTTAATTTTTCAAGGAGGGGGCTTGAAAAAGACAATACAGAAGGATACCAAGTAGACTTGAAAGGCCACTTTGTGCCTTTCCTTTATTTTTCAAGGAGTCTTTCAAGTCTACTTTGTGTCTTTCTGTATTCTCTGAGTTTTTTAAAAATAATTGGAAAGTATTTAGTTGAGTAATTTAAAAATTACATGCAAATCAGACCAGAAGCCTGATCACGTTATACACGTGGTTGGGGTAGGTCCAGGTTTGATCTTAAGTCTTGTCTCCTTTTGGGACTTGGCGAGTCTGAGCACGCCTTATGGGGTAGAATTGCTAGGAATCTAGTTTCAAGACGGATAAAGAGTCGCCTGGGAGAGGTTTAGTCCCAAGGGAAGAGAGAAGCAGGCACACATGTGTGGCCTACTAACCAAGCCTCAGTGGGTGGAAGAAGAACAGGTGTGAACCCAGCACCATGTGATTTTTTAACTAATGGCTAGAAATTAGGAAACAGCTACGCAAGGACACAGAGAAGAAGGAAACTGGCAGATGTGAAGGACCACTGTTCCTCTTCCTTACTGTCTCAATGTGTGCTTTTTTTTTTTTTCTGCATTTGTATCAGGATAAATGCCATCAAGTCACACAAGTTTAAAAATCTTCAGGCCTCTGCCTCCCTTTCTGTTGTCCCTCACAGATAGGTCACTGAGCCTTCTCAATCTGCTCTCAAAATCCACCTCCCATCCATTATCTTCTCACCATTCCCGCTTCTTTCTGTCCAGAAGGACAGCAAAGCCTCTCTGCCTCAAACTAACCACCATACAGCTGCCAGCAGAATCTTTCTGAAACACTGAAGATTATTTTACCTTATTAAAATCCAATGGCTCTTCCAAATTCCTTGGAAAGTCACTACTGGGCCTGAGCTGAGCACATCCCGCTATCCAGGAACAATAAAATGACGTGCTTTTCCCCAATTTTAATTTTTATATCTGGGCCTTTGCATTCACTATTTCTTCTGCTTGAAATGTCCTCTGTAGACTCCTCTATCTGGTAAATTCTTACTCATCCTTCAAGACCCAGCTGAAAACACTCCACCAGTGACTCTATCCTCTTGTGCTCCTCAAACGCCTTGTATACACATCATATTGTATGATCATGATAGTTTCCAAGCTTGCCTCTCAGTATAGATCATGAGCTCTTCCAGCATAAGTTTTTATTCAGTATTTACTATGTGACAGGCACTGTTCTTGGCATCAGGGTAATAGCAATTAACAAGATACATAGGCCAGTGTGGTGGCTCATACCTGTAATCCCAGCACTTAGGGAAGTCAAGGTGGGAGAATAGCTTGAGCACAGGAGTTCAAGACCAGCCAGTGCAACATGGCCCTGTTTCTACAAAATAATTTAAAAAATTAGCCAGGCATGGCAGTGCGTGCCTGTAGTTCCAACCACTTGAGCCAAGGAGTTTGGGATTACAGTGAGCTATGATCATGCCTCTGCACTCCAGCCTGGGTAACAGAGCAAGACCCTGTCTCTAAAAAATAAATAAATAAATAACATAATGTTGGTTACTGAAAAGGGCTGTAAACACACACACAAAAAATAGGCAAGGGAACAAAGTGAGGAGTTGGGAATCTCTGCTATTCTAGCTATGACATTTTAGGTCAGGGAAGGCCTCTCTGAGGAAGTGACATTTGAGTAGAGACCCGAATCAAGTGAATTTCTGACGACAAAATTGAGGGTTGTGGGAGGAGGAGGAATCCAAGCAGAAGAAACAGCAAGTGCAAAGGACCTGATCTGGACATGAACTAGTTCTGATCCAAGTAACATGAGCAGGTCAGCATGCCTGGAGTAGCATGAGCAGGGAGGAGAGTGTGGACAATGAAGTAGGAGAGAGGGGCAGGGGCCTGAAGGCATGGTAAGGAGTTTGGATTTTATTGTGAGCCATGCTGGAGAGATATTGGATGATCTGATTTGATTTTTTTTTTTTTTTTTTTTTGAGACAGGGTCTCACTCCATCACCTGGGCTGGAGTGCAATGGCATGATCTCGGCTCACCACAACCTCCACCTCCTGGGTTCAAGCAATTCTCCCACCTCAGCCTCCCAAGTAGCTGGGATTACAAGTGCAAGCCATCACACCCAGCTAATTTTTGTATTTTTAGTAGAGACAGGGTTTCACCATGTTGGCCAGGCTGGTCTCGAACTCCTGACCTCAAGTGATCCACCTGCCTCAGCCTCCCAAAGCGCTAGGATTACAGATGTGAGCCACCATTCCCAGCCATGATTTAATTTTTAAGAAGGTCATCCTGGCTGCTGTGTGGAGAATAGACAGTATGGAGCTGGGGTGGAGGCAGAAAAACAGAGAACAGTCAGGAGGCTCCTGCCATTGTCCATGGAAGAGATGATGGCTTGGACTAGGAGGGTGGCAGGGAAGTGGTGAGCAGAGTCTGGATTAAACATTATTTGGGACAGCAGATTCTAGAGCAGTTACTGAGGGCTTGGAAAAGAGAGAAGCCAGAGTATAGTTTAGATTTTTGGTCCAAGCAACTGAGTGATAGGAAATGAATTACTTCTTTTCATACAACCTCCTCATATACAGCAGCCTGTCGAGAAATTTTTATTGAAATTTGACCTGTGACTATAAGGTTTCATAACTTTCATTTCAATGGTGCTACTAATTTTTCCAGTATTGTATTTTTTTATAAATGTGTTTATGTTGACATAAAATTTTAGGTCAGAAATCTGGTGCTAGGATCCTCCCCTCAGTAGTGGGGCTCAAGTTCCAAGTGTTAAGCTGCATCTGTGTGTGGGCACACCTGTACACACATGTGCAGGCACATGTTTTTATGTCCACAGAAAATGTGACCAGAAGAAAAGTCAGTGTCTTAGCTTTAGTTATACATGGTGTTTGGTTTCTTTCCAGTGTCCCTGTGTTTTGGAAAGTACTTAACAAACGGGTAGTAAGGACACAAGAAGGCATGGAAAAAAATCAGCAGAGCTTCTGAATGACAGATGAGCCAGACACACATACATATACACACATGCACTCCTCCAGCATTATGCCAGCTGAAATGCCTTACATGTCTCCAGCTAACCTTATATCCAATTATGTTTCATGACACCCATGTAACAATGTGCCAAATTAAAAAAAGAACAGGAACAACAATAATCTGAATAATTTTCTCAATTTTACCTTGAAGTCAACCTCCATCTTCATCACAGCAGATTGATTTTATTACTGCCTCTTTCTGGCAGCTTCTGCTTAATGAATGAGTGTTATTTGAGATAACCATTACTTCTGTATCGAGATCAAGGAGTAAAAGAAAAGACTGGGGCTTCTTAAACAACGCTGGATGTAAGCAGAGGCCTGAAACACACTCAGCGAAGATACTAGAACTGTAAACATGTGTATTTACAAGTGTTACTGCTGAAATGGTGTATACATGACATATATATTCCTGAAAATGATGAGATTTGTGAAATCTTGCACGCCAAACCACAAGTTTGTGGAGAATATATAGTTGAAGCAAGCCACTCAAAATCTGTGGAACTTAATCATTAGAGAAATAGCTAAATTGCTAACAGCTATCACAATTTAAGATGAATATACCAGCACAATTTAAAAAGATGTGCTAAGTTACTAATAAATAAAAGTATTATAATTAATACAGTATTTAAACTTATAAACTAAAAATGAAATCTGACGCCCCGAAACTCACTAAATGGACCACCTATTGGCCAAGAGGACTCCACAGAAACCTTAAAAACTGAATTCCAAGCCATGATGAATGGGAGGTCAGACACACCTTATTATAACCCTTCCCTTTTGTGGTTTAGACACAACCGACCAGCATTATTGTTAAACCAGAGGTTATAAGAGTGACAAAATGGGCTCTTTGTGGCAATAAGATACCAAATTATTATTTTTTGTTTTTATTTTTGAGACAGGGTCTCGCTCTGTCACCCAGGCTAGAGTGCAATGGTGTGATCTTCAGTCACTACAACCTCCATCTCCTGGGCTCAAGTGATCCTCCTGTCTCAGCCTCCCAAGTAGCTGAGACTACAGGAATGCACCACCATGCCCAGCTGATTTTAAAATTTTTTGTAGAGACAGGGTTTTACCACGTTGCCCAGGCTGATCTCAAACTCCCGGGCTCCTGCAATCCCCCACCTCAGCCTCCCAAACCGCTGGGATTACAGGCATGAGCCATCATTCCTGGCCAAATGCCAAATTCTAAACAGGACCTAAGGCCATGCCAGGCAAGGGTGAAGTCAACCACTCTGCACGTAAAGAATAAACTTGTGTTTTAACTGACACAAAGTTTTTTCTCTTTCTTTAGCAGCCAAACAAGCACTGGCCTCAAGATAAGTAATATGAAAACAATTTGCCCCTCATCCACCACCAGATGCTGACCCCACCCCTCTGCTCCTCAAGCCATAACTATAGCTTTGATTGGACAAGAGACAAATTTCAGTAACTTTCTCCTGATAGGAAGACCACCAACCATAGACTGGTTCTGGCTGGTTTACGGAGGCTGTACACTTGAACGCTTTTATGTCCTGAAAAGGCCTTTTGATTTATAGGACCTAATTGTAACACATTTAAATGCTAAGACTCAGCTGGGCACAGTGGTTCACACCTGTAATCCCAGCACTTTGGGAGGCCGAGGCAGGTGGATCACCTGAGGTCAGGAGTTCGAGACCAGCCTGGCCAACACAGTGAAACCCCATCTCTACTAAAAATACAAAAATTAGCTGGGTATGGTGGCTCACACCTGCAGTCCCAGCTGCTCAGGAGGCTGAGGCAGGAGAACTGCTTGAACCCAGAGGTGGAGGTTGCTTGAACCCAGGAGGTGGAGGTTGCAGTGAGCCAAGATTGCTCCAATGCACTTCAACCTGGGTGACAGAGCAAGACTCTGTCTCAAATAAATAAATTAATTAATTAATTAAATTAAATAAATGCTAAGTCTCCACCTCAAGGTGAACATGGGTCATATGCAACATGCATGTTTGTTCAATATGCATGTGTCAGGACCACCCTCATCAATATTCATAGCTCCCTGGTAACCTATTGAATGTGTATGTTTGGCCAATCCGTTCGCTTAAATTACTGTCATCCCTGTCTCCCTCAAAGTGCCTGCCTTTTGGCTTCAGCTGGAGGCTACACTTTCTCAACCTGTTGGAATGACCACTTTTCAGATTGTAACCTTTTGTAAGAAATAAAGTCTCTTTTCCAATTTTATAGATTGTGTGATTCTTAAGTAAACAAACTTTATTTATATTTCTTTTTTGAGATGGAGTCTCGCTTTGTCAGCCAAGCTCGAGTGCAGTGGGGTGATCTTGGCTCACTGCAACTTCTGCCTCCTGGGTTCAAGCGATTCTCCTGCCTCAGACTCCCGAGTAACTGGAACTACAGGCACGAGCCACCAGGCCCAGCTAATTTTTGTATTTTTAGTAGAGATGGGGTTTTACCATGTTGGCCAGGCTGGTTTCGAACTCCTGACCTCAAGCAATCCGCCTGCCTTGGCCTCTCAAAATGTTGGGATTACAGGCGTGAGCCACCACACCCTGCTTAACAAACTTTTTCAAAAAGGCAACATTGTTTGATGAAAGGGGCTTTAGATGGATAATGGATGGCTACAAATTCTTCGTTATTCTTGGCATTGAGAGGTAGAATCTAGTACCCTTTTCTTCTAATCTGAGCTGATCTTTGTAACTTACTTGAATAGAATGCAGCAAAAGTGATATTCTAGGACTTCTAGAGATTAGATCATAAGAAGGTTTGGAGCTTCCACCATGGACTCTGAGAATGCTGGCTTGGGAGAAGCCAGCTGCTATGTAAAAGAAGTTCAATCACCCTGAGATCAACATATTGTGAGGAAGCCTGAGCTATCTACATGGAGGGTAGAAAGCAGGAGAGAATTAGAGGTATGGAGATGGGGGATGGGAGGGGAAGACAGGAGCGAGAAAAGAGAAGAGAAAAGAGAAACCTAGCCAGCCCCCAGATGTTCCAGTTCTCATCCACTGGAGTCATCCAAGCTGAGGCCCCAAATGCTGTGAAGCAGAGAGGAGATGCTCCCAACAAGCCAATACATGGGTAAATTAAACGTGTTCTTTTAAACCACTAAGTTTGAGGGTGGCTTGTTATGCAGCAATAGATAAATTAAGCAGGGCTAAAAGGAAGAATTGATGTTGCTGAACTATGGGGGAAAAAAAATACACATTGGGGAGAAGCAGTGAATAAGGTAAACTGAGCCAAGGAGAAGACTGTGGGGCAACTGTGGATTCTATTCACACTCATGGCTTTTGGTGTTCAGCTGTTTTAGGTGTTTTGCCTTTAGTTGTTGTTACTTGCTGACACAACATGTTAAAATGCTAGGAAAAATCACATTAAGACTGGGCGCAGTGGCTCACGCCCGTAATCCCAGCACTTTCAGAGGCCAAGGCGGGCGGATCACCTGAGGTCAGGAGTCCAAAACCAGCCTTGCCAACATGACGAAACCCTGTCTCTACTAAAAATACAAAAATTTGCCTGGCGCGGTGGTGGGTGTTTGTAATCCCAGCTACTCGGGAGGCTGAGGCAGGAGAATCGCTTGAACCTGGGAGGCGGAGGTTGCAGTAAGCCGAGATTGTGCCATTGCACTCCAGCCTGGGCAACAGAGTGAGACTCTGTCTAAAAAAAAAAAAATCGCATTTAAGTGAGCACAGCTTTTGCTTGATATTGATATTCTTATCCCAATTACCAACAACTTAGGAACTAATTCTTATTAGAAACCAGCTGTAGAAGAACACACTGTACTTGCTTTAGAAGCCCATGTCATCTACAATGTAGAGAATAAAAATGCCTTGATGGATTCTTTGGATTTTGTACTTCAGGTTGAATTCCCATGAGGCACTGGGGAAATAACAGCAAGCAGAAAAAAAGCTTCTGGGTCCAGGAGAGAGTGAAGGCTTCTCACAATAGATAGAATGGCCATTATTTGTGTGTGTGCATGTGACAGGGTCCCACTGTGTCACCCAGGCTGGAGTGCAGTGACACAATCATAGCTCACTACAACCTCAACCTCCTTGGCTCCAAGAGGTTCTCCCACCTCAGCCTCCTGAATTTCTGGGACTACAGGCATGCACCACTATTCCCAACTATTTCTTTTTATTTTTTGTAGAGACAGAATCTCACTACGTTGCCCAGGCTGGTCTCCAACTCCTGGGCTCAAGTGGTCCTCCAGCCTTGGCCTCCCAAAGTGCTGGGATTACAGGTTTGAGCCACCATGACTGGCCAGATGGTATCTCTTAATTATAGACAAACAAGGAATGGAACAAAACTTCCTCAACCAGATAAAAGGCATCTATGAAAGACCTATAGTTAACATTATATCAAGTGGTGAAAGGCTGAATGCTTTCCCCGACTGCAAAAAAAAAGGTAGGGATTTCCAATCTCACAGTTTTAATTCAACATTGTATTGGAGGGTCTAACCAGTGTAATAAGGTAAGAAAAAGAAGATAAAGGAATATAGATTGGAAAAAAAGAAGCAAATCTGTCTTTATTTACAATGTGATCCTTTGTGTAGAAAATCCTAGGGAATCTACAAAAAATACTATTAGAAATAATAACCAAGATTAGCAAGTTCACTGTATACAAGATTAATATTAAAAATCAACTGTAGGCTGGGCACAGTGGCTCACACCTGTAATCCCAACACTTTGGGAGGCCGAGGGGGGCGGATCACGAGATTAGGAGTTCAAGACCAGCCTGACCAACATAGTGAAACCCTGTCTCTACTAAAAATACAAAAAATTAGCTGAACACGGTGGCTGGTGCCTGTAATCCCAGCTACTCTGGAGGCTGAGGCAGGAGAATTACTTGAACCTGGGAGGTGGAGGTTGCAGTGAGCTGAGATTGTGCCATTGCACTCTAGCCCAGGTGACAGTGCAAGACTCCATCTCAACTGTATTTCTTTTCTTTCCTTTTTTTTTTTTTTTTTGAGATAGAGTCTTACTCTGTCACCTGGGCTGAAGTGCAGTGGCACAATCTTGGCTCACTGCAATCTCTGCCACCCAGGTTCAAGTGATTCTGCTGACTCAGCCTCCTGAGTAGCTGGGATTACAGGCGCCTGCCACTGCACCTGGCTAATTTTTTTAGATTTAGTAGAGACGGAATTTCACCAGCTTGGTTTCACCATCTTGGCCAGACTGGTCTTGAACTCTTTTCTTTTTTTTTTTTTTCTGAGACGGAGTTTCATTTTTTTTTCTTTTCTTTTCTTTCTTTTCTTTTTTTTTGAACGAAGTTTTGCTCTTGTTGCCCAGGCTAGAGTGCAACGGCGCGATCTCGGCTCACTGCAACCTCTGCCTCCCAGGTTCAAATGATTCTCCTGCCTCAGCCTCCTGAGTAGCTGGGATGACAGGCATGCACCACCACGCCCGGCTAATTTGTTTGTATTTTTAGTAGAGATGGGGTTTCACAATGTTGGTCAGGCTGGTCTCAAACTCCCGACCTCATGTGATTCACCAGCCTCGGCCTCCCAAAGTGCTGGGATTACAGGTGTAAGGCACCGCTCCCGGCCCTACTCTTGAACTCTTGATCTCGTGATCCACCTGCCTTGGCCTCCCAAAGTGCTGGGATTACAGGTGTGAGCCACTGCGCCCGGCCAATCAACTGTATTTCTATATGCTGGTAATAAACAATGTGAAAATAAAAGTAAGAACAGAATTCCATTCAGAATAGAATTTTTAAAAATTCAATACTTAGTAATAAATTTAACAAAGTACAATACCTGTACACTGAAAATGACAAAACTTTTCTGATAGAAATTAAAGATTTAAATTGTAGAGATGTTCCATGTTCACAAAATACTGTTAAGGTGGCAGTTTTTCCCAAACTGATGAATAGATTCAACATAATTTCTGTAAAAATCAGCAGGCTTACTTTTGTAGAATTTTTTTTTTTTTTTAAGACAGGGTCTCATTCTGTCACCCAGGCTGGAGTGCAGTGGTAGGATCTAGGCTCACTGCAACCTCTGCCCCCTGAGCTCAAGCGATCCTCTCACCTCAGCCTCCCAAGTAGCTGGGACCACAGGTGCACACCACCATGACCAGCTCTCTGTTGTAGAAACTAACAAGTGAATCCTCTAATTTATATGGCCATATGAAGGACTTAAAGTAACCGAAGTCATTTTGAAAATGAATGAAGTTGGAGGACTTCCATTATCTGATTTCAAAACTTACTATAAATATTTAAGACAGTGCAAAAAGATAAACATATTAAATCAATGGGACAGAACGAAAAATATACAAAAATAAAAGCTTACATTTATGATCAGTTGATTTTCAACAGAAGTATCAAAACAATGCAGTGGGGAAAGGGCAGTTTTTTCAACACATAGTGCAGAGACAATTGAATATCCACATGTAAAACAAACAAAAACTTAGAACCTTACTTCACACTATATACAAGAGAATAAAAATACAACACCCATACTGGGAGGATGTATTCGCAAATCACATCTGATAGAGAATATATAAAGAACTCTTAAAACTCAACTATAAATAAACAACTCAGTTAAAAAAACGGGCAAAATATTTGAAAAGACCTTCAAAGAAGACATATAAATGGCAAATAAGCAAATGAAAAGATGTTCATCACCATCAGTCATTAGGGAAATGTAAATGAACACCATGAGATGCCAGAACACACCTACCAGAATGACTAAATTAACAAAAATAAAACAAAGAGATTAACACATATTAACAGTTTATTGCTTTTAGTGGCTGAGTAGTATTCCATTATATAAATGTACTACAGTTTGTGTATCCATTCACCGGTTGAAGAACATTTGGGTTCTTTACAGTTTTGATAATTACAAATAAAGCTCATATATGGGCTTTTGTGAGAACATAAATTCCCGTTTCTCTTGCATAAACACGTTGGAGTGAGATTATTGGATCCTGTGGCAAGGGATTGCTTATAAGAAACTGACAAACTCCTTTCCTAAATGGTATCATGTGTATTCCCACTCTTTTTTAAAACGTTTTGTAGAGATGGAGCCCTGCTATGTTGACCAGGCTGGTCTTGAATTCCTGACCTTAGTCAATCCTTCTGCCTTGACCTCCCAAAGTGTGGGAATTATAGACGTGAAGACATGAGCCACTATGCCTGTTTTCTTTTTTCGCATGTGGATGTTCAATTGCTCTGGTACCAAGGATTTTGAAAAGCTATCCTTCTTACATTCAGTTACTTTTGTACCTTTGTCAGAAACCAGTTGGGCACATTAGTATGGGTATATTTTGGGATTCCCTATTTTTGTTCCATTAATCTATGTGTCTACCCCCCCTACAATACCATGCTGTCTTTTTTTTTTTCTTTTTTTTTTTTTTGAGATGGAGTTTCGCTCTTGTTGCCCAAGCTGGAGTGCAATGGTGTGATCTCAGCTCGCTGCAACCTCCCCCTCCCGGGTTCAAGCAATTCTCCTGCCTCAGCATCCTGAGTAGCTGGGATTACAGGTACGTGCCACCATGTCTGGCTAATTTTTTGTATTTTTGGTAGAAACGGGGTTTCACTGTGTTGGCCAAGCTGGTCTCGAGCTCCTGACCTCAGGTGATCTGCCCGCCTCAGCCTCCCAAAGTGCTGGGATTACAGGTGTGAGCCACCACGCCAGGCCCATGCTGTCTTGATTATCATAGCTATATAATAAGCTTTAACACTAGATAAGGTGATTCTTTCCACTTTATTATTCTTCTTAAAAATCATTTTAGCTATTCTAGGTCCTGAGCCTTTCCATATACATTTAAGAATAAGCTTGTCTAGTCTACACAAAACGTTGATGGGATATTGATAGAAATTTTATTAAATGTATAGATCAATTTCGAGATAGTTGACATCTGTACTGTTAAGTCTTCTAATTCATGAACATAGTATGTGTGTCCTCCATTAATGCATATCCTCTTTGATTTCTTTCACCAGCCTTATGTACTTTTCAGGATATAAATCCTATGTATGTTTTATTAGATTTCTACCTAATTATTTTATTTTCTTGAAACAATTATAAATGGCATTGTGTTTTTAGTTTTGGTTTGGATATGCTCAGTGTTAGTGTATCTTTATTATTTTAAAATTATTTCTTCCTAATAGCTTTGTACTCCTTTCTCATGGACACGATATCTTCTCTTTTTTTTTTTACTAGTATTATGGTAATTATATGATTGTTTTGGTCTTCTCACCTCACTGCCTGTTTCTTCCAAGATATCTTTTGTTTTGTGCATGGTTTCTGTCTTTCGTCAATGTACTGCAATATTTACCTATCTGTTCATATGAAGAGACACTAAAAAAGCTGAAGAATGTGAGGTGATGGATACATTAATTAGCCTAATTTTCTCAGTCTACAATGTATACCTGTATTGTATCCCATAAATATATATCATTATTATTTGTCAATAAAAATAAAAATTTTTAAAAAATGAATAAAAACTTAAATGTCCAGATAGGGCTTAGAAATTGGTTATCTTCATTGGGGTACAATCAAATTGCCTCTGGGCAAGTTGACAGTCTTCATCGGTTACTCTGAAAAGTTCAGTTTTTGCGAAGAAGAAACTGTTGGGGGTAACAAAAATTTCTGTTTAGGGGTGAGAAGCCTGGTTGCTGGAGTTACGAAACTGGGCAGGGAAAGAAAAGCAATTATTTAGGATGAAGCATTGTTTACAGGGGTGCCAAGACAACTCAATGGGGAGAAATAGTTTTTTCAACAAATGGTGCTAGGGTAACTAATATTCACATGTAAAAGAATGAGTTAGACCCCTTTCTCACCCCCACATACAAAAATTAACTCAAAGTGGATTCAAAACTTTCTCCCATAGAATGGGAGAAAATATTTTTTAAACTTATATCTGATAAAGGACTAGTACCCAGAATCTACGAGGGAATCAAGTCAACAACAAAAATAAATCTAATTAAAAATTGGTAAGAATTTTAATAGGTCTTCAAAGAAGATATACAAATGGCCAAAAGCATATGAAAAAATTGTTCAATATCATTAATTAGGGAAATGCACATCAAAATCACAATGAAATACTACTTCAAACCCACTGGAATGGCTATTATCAAAAAGACAAATAATGCCAAGTATGTGGAGAAATCAGAACCTTCATACACTGTAGGGGGAATGAAAATCATACAGCCAGTTTGGAAAACAATACAGCAGTTCCTCAAAAAGATAAACATAGAGTTTTAACATGACTCAGCAATTCTACTCTTAGGTATGTACCCAAGATAATTGAAGACATATATTTACATAAAAATTTGTATACAAATGCTCATAGTAATATTTGTCCTAATAGGCAAATAAGTGGAAACAACCCAATGTCAATCAATTGACAAATGATTAAACAAAATATATTATATTCATAAAATGGAATACTAGTCAGTCATAAACAGCAATGAAGTATGAATAGGTGCCACAACATGAATGAACCTTAATAACACTCTGCTGGATCAAAGAAGTCAGACACAAAATGCCACACATTGTGTGATTCCACTTATATGAAATGTCCAAAATAGGCAAATCTATACAGAAAGAAAGTCAATTGGTGGTTTCCAAGGACTGGAAGGAATGAGAAATGGGGAGTGACTGCTAATGTGTATGGAGATTTTTCTAGAGTGGAGTAATAAAAAAAAATTCTGAAATTAGAGTGATAATGATTGTACAACTTTGTGAAAACATGATAGACCACTGAATTGTATACTTTATAGAAGGGTACATTTGGCCAGGCATGGTGGCTCACACCTGTAATCCTAGCACTCTGGGAGGCTGAGGCAGGTGGTTTACTCAAGGTCAGGAGTTTGAGACCAGCCTGGCCAACATGGTGAAACTCTATCTCTACTAAAAGTACAAAAATTAGCTGGGTGTGATGGAAGGCACCTGTCATCCCAGCTACTCGGGAGGCTGAGGCTCAAGAATGGCTTGAACCCGGGAGGCGGAGGTTGCAGTGAGCCGAGATTGCACCACTGCACCCCAGCCTGGGTGACAGAGTGAGACTCTGACTCAAAAAAAAAAAAAAAGGTAAACTTTATGGTATGTGAGTGATATCTTAATCAATCTGTTATTAAAAGAAATAATAGTGGCTTTTAAAAAAGCATGATCCTTCATCCCCTCTTTTCCAGTTAACACTTAATATGTGCTCCTTTAGCTCTGCCTGGTGCTTCCAAACTCTTAAGTCTCTTTGGTTTGGCCTCTTTAGATACCCGTCAGCTCCTCCCACAGTGCACTGAAAATGGAAAGTCCTCTAGGGCAGTAATCCTAAGTTCTGGACAAGGGAATATACCATCTTTGCAATTTTTGCCATATTAGCACATTATCTGTATCATTCATTATTGACTTAACATTTTTCTTTAAATCAATTTAGACCTAATAGTAATGCCTACCTCAGTGTTACCTAGGAAGTAATGCCCATGAAATCATAGATTTGATGTGCTAGAGTGGTATAGTAGTTTTAAAATGTTCACACATTTATTATATAGCTCCCTTCTAAAGGTCTAGAGAAATTATCCCACCCTGTGTGGCCTATGCTTAGCAACTCACTTGTAATGAGTAGAATATGGCAAGCAACAGTGTGTGACCTCTAAGACTAGGTCATAAAGGGGACTGTGACTTCCTCTTTGTCACCTCTTTTAGATTACAAACTCTGGGGAAACTAGCCGACATATCATAAGAACATTCAAGTAGCCTTACAGTGAAGTCCACATCAAGCGGAACTGAGGGCTCCTCTCAACAGCCATGTGGCTGAACCATCTTGGAAGCAGGTTCTCAGCCCCAGTGAAGCTTATGATGACTGCAGCCTCTGCCAATATTTTGACTGCAACTTATGGCTATTCCTGAGCTAGAACAACTAGCTAAGCCGCTCCTGAATTTCCAATCCATATAAAGTATGACTATATTAGTCTGTTCTTATGCTGCTAATAAAGACATACCTGACACTGGGTAATTTATAAGGAAAAGATGTTTAATGGACTCACAGTTCCACATGGCTGGGGAGGCCTCACAATCATGGGAGAAGGCAAAGAAGTAAAGGCACGTCTTGTCTTACATGGTGGCACACGAGAGAATGAGAGCCAAGTGAAAGGGGAAACCCCTTATAAAACCATCAGATCTGTGGGACTTATTCACTACCACGAGAACAGTACGGGGGAAACTGCCCACATGATTCAATTATCTCCCACCAGGTCTCTCCCACAACACGTGGTAATTATGGGAGCTACAATTCAAGATGAGATTTGGGAAGGGTTTGATTCTCAGAGAACCCTAGTTGAGAAGGGCTGAAGAGGGGTTAAAGGGCATAGACACTGGAGCTAAACTGGATAGCTTCAAATCCAGGCTTCACCTATAGCTTGCTAAACCACCAGGGACAAATCATTCGATCTTTCTGTGCTTTAATAATGATGGGGATAATAATACTACCTACCCTCTTCCTAGAGTTGTTAGGAAGATTAAATGAGTTAGTATACGTAAGCACTTAGAACAATGTGTAGTGCATAGTCAATGTTATTCAAAGGGAAGTTATCATTATAAACACTTCACTATGACAAGAATAAATGTCTGTTAACGTATCACCTAAAATCAGCTTGCATTATATCAGTGGTGTATGTGCCACATGATGCTAGGTAATAAGTGACTTCCTTTACCCCATGGCAGCTCCTCTTTACCAAGGGTTTTCAAAAAGCTGTATTAAATCTTTTAAGCTGCTAGAATACAACTCAATATGAAACTGCTTCTGCCAAGCCTTCATGATCTAAGAGAGCCTCTGTCACTTCTGTCCACCAGCCCTCGGGCAGTGAGAGGAGGAATCACAGGTTTGCAGCAAGGAAGGGAGAATGTGAGAGAGCCCAACTCTTTGAATTTCTCACTGACTTTGAATAGGCTGTAAGGCAAAGAAGCATAAAATGTCTATGCCTTTCTGTCTTTGTGTCTTCTTAGCACAGTTCCTAAACTTTAAATAAAAAAGAAGTTAAACTCCACACTGAATTGACCTTTTGAACTTCAGATTTGTAGCACAACATTGATTTTAGGTCTGAAAGAGATACTGGAGTGTTGCTGAGAGCTGGACTCCTGGAGAGGGTTTTATAACAGGGGCAGTCTGACTCAGGGTCTGAATCTAATAGTCATTACACATTAAAGGTACCTAGTGATCTCTAATGTAAGAATAATTCTATGATTTCAGTGCTGATAATACTTGTCTTGTGGACGAGAGCCATGTTACAACTGTGTTTAAAAAGAATTTTAAACTAACCCTACTGTGGGCAGGGCTCTTGGTGGGCACTTGAGTGCCATTTTGAAGGGACAAAAATGTGTGTAAGAAGCATGTGATGTTTTTGCAGTGGTTTGAGGGCTGGGTTTGGTAATTACACTCTCGAATGCGAAAATCCAATGTGGCATAATGAAAAACACACCTCTGTCCTGCTTCCAAAACGAATTCCAAATACACGACAGCCTTTGCACAGCTGACTGTATGCCATAAAGGGTACATTTGCTCCACTTCTGTGTCTACAAGAGCACCAGGACAAAAATAAGATACCATAAAATGTGTGCTGCCTCATCTCTTTTGTCCCTATTAACTCTTTTCCTCTGAGCTACCTTAGTGCTCAGTCTACTTATTTGAAAACACACCCCCAACCAGTCTTAACAGAAAGAGGAGAAAATAGGTGTGTGGGTAGCAAATAAACTGTGTAGTTCAAACCATTACAATAAAATATTGTTCATGAATTATAATGCAGAGTGATAAAAAGGACAGTTTATGTTGGGTAGGAAGAAGTAGCCAGCAAGGATTTATACAGGTCAATGTGAAAGTCATTTTTTCACAAAGAAATTCTTATCTAAGCCCTCCCTGAGACATCAGGCATTTGACTATAGGAATTCAAAGGAACTGAAAATCATCACGTGGATTTTGAGCTACATGATCTGGACATTCATGACATCTGTCCTCCCTTATCTACTAGAACTTGCTAATCCAGAAGGGGAGACATTTTCAGTTCTTTTTGTATTCAAACCAATGGGTGTAAAAATATTAAGTACTTCCCTTAGCTGTCTACAAGGAGGACTTAGTTTTACTGTATATATGTTGCAGAGAGCCTAGCTGACATGTTATATGGCCAAATATGCTCTTTATGGTTATTCAATGGAGACATTTTTCTCAAAACTCAGTATCAGGAATAGTTATAATTTTCATGAACAACTTTCATGAATAGGTTTCATTCTTTCACTTGTGATACTAGGCAGCTCGGTCAATTCTAGCCTATATTTTACAACTTGTACTGGACTTTTTGATATGCATTTTGTGTAATAATGCTATCCCTGATTTTTATCTTATTTGTCCTACTCTAATTTTCCCTTTCCCACAATTTCTTCACTTACTCCTTTTATCTTGAACTATATGTTTACATGTAAGCAATTTCATATCCCCTTTTGGAGTAAGCCATGGTTTAAATTCCTAAATAAACTGTCCAGAAAAAGAAGTGACTATCTTTTCAGCAGTTATGCTGACCAGAGAAGAACTATTTCCTTCTTCACCATGAAAAACATTTCAGAAGATATCAGCCTGGTCTGACATGCTCACCAATGCCAGGTAGATCACATGGCTGATAAACTGCCACATCTTCTTTCTTGACAGCGTAGTGCATGACAGAGACCCCATCAACTAAGTCATAATGGCTGGAAGACCCCCCAGTTTCAGCTCCTTTGATACTTTGATAATAGATGTGTGGAGGGTAAATATAGTCAAAACAACATCTAGATATATATATATGTATATTTTATATAATATATATATTTATATTATATATATATATATATATTTTTTTTTTTTTGAGACAAGTTTTCGCTTTGTCACCCAGTCTGGAGTGCAGTGGTGCAATCTTGGCTCACTGCAACCTCCTCCTCCCGGGCTCAAGCAATTCTCCTGCCTCAGCCTCCTGAGTAGCTGGGATTACAGGCACGTGCCACCACACCCAGCTAACTTTTCTATTTTTAGCAGAGACGGGGTTTCACCATGTTGGCCAAGCTGGTCTTGAACTCCTGACCTTAGGTGATCCACGCACCTGAGCTTCCCAAAGTGCTAGGATTGCAGGCATGAGCCACCACGCCTGGCTCATTCCAGATATATTTCTGTTTATATTAAACAAATATAAATTAATCATACTGAAAGACCAGATTTTACACCTACTATTACCAGCTTGATAGTTATTAATACCATTATTAGCTGATCATTAACCAGCTTGTTAGTACTTCAGTGCTTAAGAAATGTTAGGTACAGTGCTAAGTGTGCATTACTTTGTTTAACCCTCTCACACAACCCTATAGGTAGATACTATTACTATGCCTGATTTAGGGTTGAAGGAATGTGAGACAAGACTAGTTAAGAAACTTTTTCATGATCATGTGATGGATTAGTGGACTTAGGACCCAAACTCAGCTATATCTGATTCAGTTGTTCATGCTCTTAACCCCTATGCTGAGGGCCTCACGTTTCATGCTGAACACAGTGATGGACTGGGTGGCAAGAGATGGTGATGACATCTTTACTTTGCCAGGAATGAGGCATGATGAGGACTTCACAGATGAGATTCATGTCCACAAACTGCTTAAATCTCACAAAGACAAAGGTAATTCCATGGTCAGAAACAGTAGTGTCTGATAGTTCCTACAAGGGCAGAGCTAAGATTACTGCAGTGTGTATGTGAGTTAAAATTAGGAGCACATAAGGCTTTGTTGAGAAGGAATCTATAACAAAACTCTTTAGTGGACCTGAAAAGTTGGTGTGACCTGTGGCAAAAACTATTTATCATCTTGTCATGACATGGTTTTGCCTTCCTAGGCACACGATAGACTTCATTTCCTAGTATCCCTTTCAGTTAGATGTGGTCGTGTGCTTATATTTTAGCCAATGAAACACAAGTGAAAGGAATGCACTTTACTCCCAGACCTAGTCTATAAAAATCCCCCCATGGAAAATTCACCTGCTCTTTCTTGTTCCCTGGGCTAGGGAAACATCTATGGGCACCTCAGAAACCACATGTTAAAGATGACACAACCTCTGTGAGCTGGTTTGCTGAATGACAATATGTAACAACACTGTCCCCATTCCACCTCCAAATTCCTCAACAAGTTGGAATCATTTGAGCCTATTTACGTGAGCAAGAGATAAACTCCCCTTATGTTTAAGCCTACTCTGTATAATATGTAACTCAGAAACGTAGTTTATGATCCCATGGAAAAGTAAGTAGTCTGGATTGGCTACAGGGTCTACAGATCTTCAAAGTTAGGCTCATTTCTGTACCACCAAACAAAGTTTCTGGACAGCTCATATTGAAAATTTCTGAAAGTTCATCCTGTAACTTAGCCAAGGAATATGAAAACCCTAGTTAAGGAAGCCCCTTGGGGTGTGATGAGTGGTGCTCTCTGAGTCTCAGTTCTCAAGTCTCCCAGACTGCTTTCACTTTGAGCTTGTCTACATAATGCTCTGAAGTACTGGCCCATGACCTTAATTTCCATTTTCTGCACATGGTAATTAGATTCACTCACCCTGGTGCTTGACACTTGACTGTCGCCTAAGGACTCAGATATGGCTTGCCTCTGTGGTTCTCAGCATCCACATTGCCTCCATCATTCATTAAAGTTTATTGAGCAACTACCATTTGCCAGCCATTTTGCTAGAATCTGGGGAATCAGGTCCATTGGCTTCTATCATATCCAATTTCATTGACTAAGGCATTTCTCAGACTTTCAAGAATGTCAAAATTTTAATAAAAGGTACACCAGGCCAGACATGATGGCTCACACCTCTAATCCCAGCACTTCGGGAGGATGAGGCGGGAGGATCACTTGAGCCCAGGAGTTCAAGACCAGCCTGGGCAACATAGTGAGACCCTGTCTCTACAAAAAAAAATCTTAAAAAGTTGCCAGGTGTGGTGGCATCTGTCTATGGTCCTAGCTACTCAGGAGGCTAAGGTGGGAAGATTGCTTGAGGCTGCCCAGGAGGTCAAGGATACAGTGAGCCATGATCGCACAACTGCACTCTAGCCTGGGTGACAGAGCGAGACCCTGTCTCAAAAAACAAACAAACAAACAAACCCAAAGGACTCTGTAACATTAGTATTGTATCTGGCAGCTCTCTGCTTTACATCCAATAGACGCTTAGTATGTGTTGGAATGACTAAATTATCAGTACATACAAGCAATAATGCTCTTTCTACCCATAATCTCTATTTTATTGATGACTTAATGATGGCAGTGAAAAATACATTTAAAAAGTCATAACAGGCCAGGTGCAGTGGCTCACACCTGTAATCCTAGCACTTTGGGAGGCTGAGGCAGGTGGATCTCTTGAGGTCACGAGCTTGAGACCAGCCTGGCCAACATGGTAAAACCCCATCTCTACAAAAATACAAAAATTAGCCGGGCGTGCTGGCACGTGCCTGTAATCCCAGCTACTTGGGAGGCTGAGACAGGAGAATCACTTGAATCCAGGAGGCAGAGGTTGCAGTGAGCCAAGATTATGCACCACTGCACTCCAGCCTGGACGACAGAGCGAGACTCTGTCTAAAAACAAATAATGACAAATGCTTCATCAGCATAGATGGTGTAGCACAGATCCCCTATGTTCAGGCTTCTCTAGTTTGTTTATTTCAAGATAGAATAATATTTAATCATATATGTACATCAGAGGACATAAGAAACACATTTGATAGGTGCCAAAAAAGCATTTGATGGAAATCAACACCCATTCTTCATAATAATTATCAGCAAACAGAAAGAGGATACTTTCTAAACAGTGAAAATAACCAATACCAGGCATTAGACTGAATGTGAAACATTAAAAAGTCCTTTAAGGTCAAGAACATGGCAAAAATACCCATAGTAACTTCTTTTTTTTTTTTTTTTTTTTTGAGACAGAGTCTCGCTTTTTCACCCAGGCTGGAGTGCAATGGCATGATCTTGGCTCACTGCAACCTCCACCTCCCGGGTTCAAGCAATTCTCCTGCCTCAGCCTCCCCATTAGCTGGGATTACAGGCATGTGTCAGCACGCCTGGCTAATTTTTGTATTTTTAGTACAGACAGGGTTTCACTCTGTTGGCCAGGCTGGTCTCAAACTCCTGACCCCAAGTAATCCACTCACTTCAGCCTCCCAAAGTGCTGGGATTACAGGCATGAGCCACCACGCCTGTCCCCATAGTGACTTCTTTTATGTAGTGTTATTATATAAGTTCTAGCTAATATAATAAGAAAATGAAAATGAGATCATCTCTCTTTGCCGATGATAAGATTGTATACCTGAAAATCCAAAAGAACTAACTGAAGTTCTAACTATTAGAACTTGTATATAATGTTTAATCAATTCAACTGATTTACAAAATTATGCTTAAAATCTGTAGCTTTCTTATATACCAGTAATAACCAGTTTAAAATGTAAACAGTTACAACTGGGACAAATGAATAAACACCTAGAAATAAAGCTATCACAATGCATAAGGCCCTATATGAAGAAAAAGATAAAATTTTGCCAATGTATGCAAAATAAAACATGTATGAATCATGTATGAATGACTAATACATGTATGAAACATGTGTGCATTATGTTTCTAGAAAGGAAGATTATTTTGTGAAAAGAAAGAGGTTTTTCCAGATAATCTATATGTTTAATGCAATGCCAATTACAATCTTAATTTAAAACAACAGGCGTGGGAAAGGTTGGAAAAAAAAGAATGATTTGGAAGTTTTTTGGGAGCAAGAATGACCAAGAAAATATGTTGAAAAGAATAATGAGAAAGAGCCTGCCCTATGAGATATTAAAGCACTAGGAACCCATGATAATAAAAGAAGTGGTGCATAGACGGTACAAAGGTTGGTAAAATACATAAAGCCTGAATTCTGGGGAGCTGCACCACTGAGATAAGAACTGGGCTATGCATTTAAGGAGTCTGCTGTCCATTGGCATCATTGCTGGTCAGGAGTGCTTGCTTTTAGAAGACTAGGAAGTGGTTGTACCTAAGATGAGATGGAGGTGAGAGTCCACTTAGATTTGTAGTTTTGGAGCAGAGAGTTTGAAGTGCTGAGATAAAACTTTGAGAAGAGGGCAAGATGATTAAAGATAATTTTAAGCAAATTTCACTGTGTGCAGAAATGTACAATGTCTTTGTCAGTATACCTAAAAACCATGGTGCTCTTCAATGCTTTTGGAAGAGAAAATTTGTTGTGTTTTTGTTTATTTGTTTGTTGATGATGATGTGCTGAACCTGACCATAAGGTAAAATGGAAGGTCCAGTATTACTCAGATTACATAAGGATTTAGTGATTGATAAAGTTGGCCTTTAATATAAATGAGGTGCAAAATGGCTTGTTTATAAGGGGTGTTGAGATAGCCAGTAACGATATTTCTCTGCTCTTATAAATATAAAGATATGTGCTATATACTAATTTTGGGGGACTATAAATTTGTATTTTGCTCACTGCCCCCATCAGAGTCTTCAAGACAAGCAGGGCATTAGTTGGGCCTGGATATTTTCCTCCATCTGTAGTTTTCTGAGAGTTTCTATTATGAAATAGCATTGGATTTAGTCAAATGAGCTTTCTGAATCTGTTGAAATAACCATATGGCTTTAAAAAAATTCTGCTAATGTGGTAAAATCTATTGACTGATTTTTGAATGCAACCAGCTTTGCATTGCTGAGATAAAATCCAGTTGGCCATGGTGTATTACCCTTTTTGAATTTTGCTAGATTTACTTTGTTAATATTTTGTTAAGGATGAAGTGGTAATATTTTTTTATTTCTACGGCACCTAAGAAGAAAACAAATGACAGGAGGACTCATTTCCCTTAGCAATGGAAATTACCTTTCACAGTCTCTATAAAATAAAATATTGCCAAAAAAACCAAAACAAGTAAAATCATAAATCTCAAGAGAGCAAATCTAAGATAGAACATCAGCAAAATATGCACTAAAAGTAAAGTACTATGTGTGTTTAAAGCTACAGATTCTAAGGCTTTGGGTAATTAAAACAAATTACCATATTTATTGAAATATCAATCATAATTATTATAGATAGGTTAGAAGGCAGGAGAAGGGGATTATAGTACATTACTTTTTGACTAAGTGGGAAAACTGTAAATTAGAGATTAGTCAGTTAATAAAGCACATATTCTTGGAATTTTTCTTAGAAAAGCTCCAACATCAAAAATTTGTTTTACAAATACAATTCCCTTTGGTTTGGTTCCTCATAACCGTACTTCCCTTCTCCACACTTTCCTTATCTCTTAACATGTAATTAAATTTGAACATTCTTTACTCTTCTTAAGTATTACCTCCAAAGCCAAAACCAGAAAGACGACAGCTGTAAGGCCAAAATAAAACAATAAACAAGCAAAACCCAAACCCAACTACCCTCTCATCACCACCTAGCAGCATAATAAACAAAATTAAAAGAAAAATAAAATGAAAATAATTGCAATATATGATCACAGGTCAATTTTGTTAATATACGAATATCTCTTAAAAGTCAAGCAGAAAAAAAAATCCCAGAATAAAACTAAAGGCATAAACAAGTAGTTAACTAAGCAGAAATACAAATGGCCAAAAAACATGAAAAAACAGTTTAATTTTACAACTTATTTAAAAATGCTAGTTAATACTATATCGTGATTTTGTTTGTTTGTTTGTTTGTTTAGAGACAGGGTCTTGCTTTATTGCCCAGGCTGGAGTGCAGTAGAGCCATCATAGTTCACTGCAACTCTGAGTTCCTGGGCTCAAGTGATCCTCCCGCCTCAGCCTCCCAAACAGAAAGGACTACAGGCATGGGCCACCATGCCTGGCTATTTTTATTTTTACTTTTATTTTTATTTTTGTAGACAGTGAATTTCACTATGTTGCTCAGGCTAGTCTCAAATTCCTGGCCTCAAGCAATCCTCCTGCCTCAGCCTCCCAAAGCACTGGGATTATAAACATAAGCCACTGCACCAGCCATATATTGATTTTTTTTTTTGCTTATTAGATGGGGAAAATATGAAAAATAATTATAAAGCCTGATGGGAATGTGACCAAATCTTCCTGGAAGGAAAACTGATGGTAAAGATAAAAAGCTTTTAAGACGTGCTTAACTAACTTTCACACAGAACCATAAGGAAACCTGTATAGTTTGTGATAGCAAGGAGTGTGAGGAAACTTGGATGTTTGTTATTAAAGTAATGGATAAGTCAAATGCAGGCATACAGTGGAATGCCATGCAGTAATTATAATAAATAAACTACATTTTCATATAACATGAATAAATATCAAAATCAACGTTTAAGTCTGATATGTAAGAAACAAAATGAGATTTTTAGGAAGAGCATCATTTGCATAGATCACCAGTGTTATTTTTGAACAGACAAAGCTTGGTGAATGCCAATGGTTGTATCACTTATGTATGTTAAAGACACATACACACAAAAAAAATGTGAAAAAAAGCTCAACGGCCCAGAGCGGTGGCTCATGCCTATAATCCCACACTTTGGGAGGCTGAGGCAGGTGGATCACCTGAGATCAGGAATTTGAGACCAGGCTAGCCAACATGGTGAAACCCTGTCTCTACTAAAAAATACAAAAACTAGCCAGGTGTGGTGGTGGGCGCCTATAATCCCAGCTACTTGGGAGACTGAGGCAGGAGAATTGCTTGAACCCAGGAGGAGGCAGAGGTCGCAGTGAGCCAAGTTCAAGCCATTGCACTCCAGCCTGGGCAACAAGAGCAAGACTCCACCTCAAAAAAAAAAAAGAAAAAAAGAAAAAAGAAAAGAAAAGAAAAAAGAAAAAAACCTCAACATCACTGATAGAGAAATGCAAATCAAAACCACAGTGAGATACCATCTCATGCCTGAATGGCAATTATAAAAAAAGTCAAGAAACAACAGATGCTGGTGAGGCTGTGAAGAAATAAGAATGCTTTTATACTATTGGTGGGAGGTAAATTAGTTCAACCATTGTGGAAGACAGTATGGCGATTCCTCAAAGACCTAGAACCAGAAATACCATCTGACCCAGCAATCCCATTACTGGGTATACACTCAAAGGAATATAAATCATTCTATTACAAAGATACATGCAAACGTATGTTCATTGCAGCACTATTCACAACAGCAAAGACATGAAATCAACCCAAATGCCCATCAATGACAGACTGGATGAAGAAAATGTGGTACATATACACCATGAAATACTATGCAGTAATAAATAGAATATAAATCATTCTATTATAAAGATACATGCACACATATGTTCATTGCAGCACTACTCACAATAGCAAAGACATGGAATCAACCCAAATACCCATCAGTGATAGTCTGGATAAAGAAAATGTGGTATATATACATCATGGAATACTATGCAGCCATAAATAGGAATGAGATCATGTCCTTTGCAGTGACATGCATGGAGCTGGAATCCATTATCCTCAGCAAACTAATACAGGAACAGAAAACAAAACACCACATGTTCTCACTCGTAAGTGGGAGCTGAAGAATGAGAACACATGGGTACAGGGAGGGGAACAACACACACTGGGGCCTGTTGGGGGATGGGGAGAAGAAGAGCATCAGGATAAATAGCTAATGCATGTGGGGCTTAATACCTAGGTGATGGGTTCATAGGTGCAGCAAACCACCATGGTACACATTTACCTATTAACAAACTTGCATGTCCTGCACATGTATCCTGGAATTTAAATAGAATAAAATTAAATTTTTAAAAAATACCACCATGCATTTTTCAAAGATATACAGATTGCTGCAAAGAAGGATGGACAATGAATTGAAAGGCTGTATATTAAATACATTAGGGTGGGTATCTAGGAGGGAGAAAGATGGGGAATAAAGGGAGCAAAAATAACACAAAATAAAATATAAGAGAAGTTTTGCCTGGGCTACTGAACCATGAACTGAAGTGTATGAGAAACGCAACTTTGGACAGCTAAGGTACCTGTCTGTAACACCAGCAATTGTGCTTTAGCTAGAATCTGTGTAACACAATAACTAAAGAATCTCCACAGACTTTTTACTTTTAATAAAAGAGACTGAAGTGTAATACATTTTGCAATTATAAATCCTAAATGCAAAGTCTGATGACTTGTTACACAGTGGACACACTCATGTAACTGCCTCCCATATTGAGAAATAGAACACGTTAAACGCCTATAATCCTATGAGCCCCCACCAAGCCATATTGGCCCTCATCAAAAGCAAACACTATGCTGATTTCCCACACCATAGATTAGCTGTGTCTATTTTTTTTTTTTTTTAATTTAAGCCAGGTCTCGCTGCATCTCCCAGGCTGGAAGGCAGTGGCATGATCTCTATCTTAGGTCACTGTAACCTCCACCTCCCATGTTCAGGCGATTCTCATGCCTCAACCTCCCGAGTAGCTGGGATTACAGGCATGCACCACCATGCCTGACTAATTTTTGTATTTTTGGTAGAGATGGGGTTTCACCATATTGGCCAGGCTGGTCTCGAACTCCTGACCTCAAGTGATCCGCCCACCTCAGCCCCCCAAAATGCTGGGATTACAGGCGTGAGCCACTGTGCCTGGCTAGCTTTGTCTATTTCTGACCTTCCAGTAAAAGGAGTTCTGCAATGTGTACTCTTCTGTGCCTCTTTCATTCTCTATTATGTTTGTAAGGATCAACTCATGTTCTAAAAGAGATGCTACAATATTTCAATGCATAAATATGTCACAATTTATCCATACTACAGTTGATAAACATTTAAGCTGATCTCAATTTTTTATTATTATGAATAAGGCTATATATGTATGAACATTCTTGTCCATGTCCTTCGGAACAAATGTTTGCTTTTCCTTTTGGAAAAGAGAAGAAGAATATCTAGGAAAAGAACAGTTAGGTCATAAGATTGTAGTTGATCAGCTTTAGAAAATACTGACAAACAGGGGCTGGGCACGGTGGCTCACGCCTGTAATCCTAGCACCTTGGGAGGCTGAGGCAGGTGGATCACTTGAGGCCAGGAGTTCAGAAAATACTGACAGTTTTCCAAAGTAACTGTACCAATTTTTACTTCCACCAGCAGAGAATGAGAGCTTCAGTTTCTACATCCTCACCAACACGGGAAATCCTACTCTTTTGAATTTTAGCCATTCAGGTGGGTATCTTGTTCTCATTTTATTTTTTGTTTAAGTCATGTTCTGAATTTCATTTCCTTTTACATCTAAATTAGATCTCACAGTCTAACACTTCCATCGCTCTCTTAATAGTCCCAAGCTTCAGTGCCATTCCATCACACTTAATTGATCAACCTCCCAAGTGCAGATCAACCATTCTGCCTTCTCTGCCTTACACATCGCCTACTGTTTATTGCTGGAGGAAATTATGCAGCGGTACAGACTTGCACCTCTAGATATTGAAGTCCAACTTTAAGTGGGCTCTCCCTCTCTCCATCCTCACCCCTACTGTCCCAGTCCAGACCATCCAGGACTCCGGTGCATGATCTGAGCAGTCTCTTTGCTCTCCTTTAATCTTTTCTCCAGATGGATCTACCCCAAACATAAAGTGGTCAAATTTTTTCTTGAATTACTCTCTAATAGCTCCCACTGTCTTCAGGATATAGTAAAATTCCTTTCAGATACTGTGTAATATCACCAGTGTTGTTTGTGAACAGACAAAGCTTGATGAATGCCAATGGTTGTATCATTCTATCAACACTAAATGTTTATTAAACACTTCTATTTCTGATCCCAGAAGCGTAATTAGACCCATCAGCATAAAATGTGAAATATTTGAGCTGGGTTTTATGGTTTAATTTTTAAAAAATTTTAGCAGGACATAAAAGGCTAGTTTTCATAGCTTTTAAAATTTAATTTGCCACTTTGGGAGGCCGAGGCAGGCAGAATGCCTGAGGCCAGGGGTTCAAGGCCAGCCTGATCAACATGGCAAAACCCTGCCTCTACTAAAAAATACAAAAATTAGCCAGGCATGGTGGCGCACACCTCTAATCCCAGCTACTTGGGAGGCTGAGGGAGAAGAATTGCTTGAACCTGGGGGGCAGAGGTTGCAGTGAGCCAAGATGATGCCATTGCATTCCAGCCTGGGTGATAAGAGTGAGACTCCGTCTCAAAAAAAAAAAATTAATTTCAACTGATAGGAAAGAAACACCATTGAGAAAGCATTGTAGGAAAGTTTAAAAATCAACTTCATTTATTTTATGTTATTTTTTGAGACAGAGTCTTGCTCTGTCACCCAGACTGGAGTGCAATGGTGGGATCTCAACTCACTACAACCTCTGCTTCCTAGGTTCCAGCAATTCTCGTGCCTCAGCCTCTCAAGTAGCTGGCACTATAGGCGTGCGCCACTCTACCTGGCTAATTTTTTGTACTTGTTAGTAAAGACAGTGTTTCACTATGTTGGGCAGGCTGGTCTTGAACTCCTGGCCTCAAATGATCCACCGGCATTGGGCTCCCAAACCACTAAGATTACAGGTGAAGCCATCATGCCCAGCCTTTTTTTTTTTTTCTTTTTTACTCACCACTACACTAATGAGTATAAAAATCAACTTTAAAAATGATTTAAGTTTTGATTTTTTATGTTATTAAAGTAATATAATGGGAGCAAATAGTAGTCATATAAAAAGTATAAAGTCAAATGCAGTAATAGTCACATAATAATAATTTCATTCAAGCAGATACATACTGTGTAGACTCTCTCTGAGGACACTTTCTCTTGCTACTCATAATCCAGGACTTGCATTGTTTAGCTTCTCTCCTAGCTTCCTTGCTTTTCTTGCTCTCATCTCATGTCCTTTGATTCGGTGCTTTCCCATCATTCCTTTACTCCTTGCTTTGTCTCCTTTTGCACTTTTTTTCTTATTTCTTTGGTTTCCCTCTTGACTTTCTTGTTTTCCTCCTCTTCCCCTCACTCTCTTCTCCATCTTCACTTGCTGTGTCCCTCACCTACCTCTGGGCTGCCTCTTACCTTGGTTTTTCTTGGCAGACAGGGCCCATGTCCTGATCCCTAACACAACCCCAGCCTAGCTCTGGGTTCCTATCTCAGAGTCCTGAGCCCCACTACCTGGAAATCCACTTTTCTTGTTAGGATTTAAAGATGTGTGGTTTGTTGCCTTGATGAGAGGACTTTTTAGCACTTTAGGACAAATCAGTTTGGCAGATGACCCTTGCAATATTCACACGCGTATTTGTGAATGGGAATGAAGAAGGAAACAGAGGTTTCAGCACCCAGTCCTCTCTCTTGTGGCTGAGGAAAGACTGTTTATTGCTGCATTCTCTTTATCTCCTTATATTCCTGTCTGGAACTTGAGACTAGGTTGCCCAGTATGATCTGCTTTTCCATGAAAAGAGACAACTCTGACTGCATTCATTCAAACTTTTATCAAAACTGTTTTGACTGCCTGCTATGAACTGAACACAAGTCCTTAGGGGTATTACAGCATGACAACACAGTCCCTTGAGCAGGTCTCAGGCTTTTTCTGTTTAATAAATTGAACGGGCCTGCCTCTCCCCTAAACTCAAAGTAATTAGCTTGGTGAATAGAATGGAGCCTTTCAACTAGCAACAGTGGATATCCATCTCCCTGAATGCTTTCAATCAGAGAAGAGAGAATGCTGACTTCATAAGGGTGGGATCTAGAAGTCTTCAGAGAAACCTTAGGACAGTTCCAGCACCACTTAGTTATTCCTCTTCCTCTCTACTTTTGGCTGACTCCTGAAAATGCCAGGCTTGGCTTCTCAAGTCATACTAGTTACCATCCCTTACATGAACCACTTTTTCATTTAAATCTAACAAGGATGCAGTACAAGGATGATTATTCACAACATTAAATATGTGTCAGACTAACACTGTTAAGTTGTATTGGATTATATCTCTCAACTATATTCTTCTACATGTGGTCATTGGAGTTTTTGCATATGTAGTGTGTTCATGCACTCAAGTTTGAACAATTAGAGGAGATGCTGGGTCATACAGATTCAAGAACAGTAACCACAGGAGAATATATTTTATACTCTTGGTTTGTTTCTCTGACAAGAAACTCTTCAGGACTTAGGTCAAAAGAATAAATATATGCACTATCCCTTCTAGGCACAATTTGCTTGAGTAAGCAGCTAATAGAATAACTAGTCTCGGAGATAAAGAATCACTGTATGACTTGAGTATATAAAATTATACAATGTGTATATATATAGAAGAGAGAAAGGAGTGTGGAAACCAAAATTTAGTTGCTACCACAACTGTATATGTTCTAAACTTTCATGCATCTTGAGTATTTTATCCTCAAAACTAGTTTTTATATTTGAATATGTAATTACTTCCATTTCTTTATGGTCTTGGAAGAATTTAAAATATATATTTATTCATCGGAATCTATTATACAGAATTTTTAGATATTGTGAAAAAAATTTCTATTTCTCCTTCATAAAGCAGCCTTAAGATTTTTGTTTGCTTTTCATTTAATAAAATGTGAGGGGAAGATGAGTTGGGGGTTCAGTCTCTGCTGAAGACCTACTGTGCTTCTTATGATGTTGAGCATTAGTGATAAAATGTTTTGGAATCTTTACAGTACAATGGTTTTAAAGCTTCTGGGGTCAGGGACTGAATCCTCAACGCATGGCCTGTGGACCCATCATACAAAAGTGGTTCAGTAAATACTTATTGAATGAATGAATTTAAATTGTGCCATAGAACTAATTCATTTACTTAAGTGGCCAATCAAACCAGTTTACTCAGCCAATTTCATTGATTTTGTGACCTTATTTAGATATAATCTTTAAACAGAAAGTCATAATGAGGGAAGGGATAGAAAAATTCCCATTGTTGTGTTGTAGTGAAAAAAAAGTATAAAATATTTTATTAAGTTGAGCTGCATTTAAAAGGAAGATAAAAACTTCCAGGACTATAAAAAAAATAAACTAAACTTCTGAATCCCTGAATAGTAATGGGGATGGGTGGAAACTCTGAAGACAATAATTTAAAAACAAAAACAAACTAGTCCTTTAATTATAGCATAATTATCCAGATTTCAAACTGTGAATTCACTTTTGCTTTGGTCTTTTAAATAAATTATGCATGTTTTCCATATGGGGCCCCACACCAAAACTCCTTTTTAATCTGGGAAAACATTTCCAAAATCCAAGTTTGTATCCAAGCTCTGGGATATTAATTTGACTTTGGATTCTTCCATAAACTTTCCATGTTTAGAAATCTTTTTGAACTGTCCCTTGGGATACACATGTTTGTATTACACATATTCTATGTCTTTTAATAGTAACATTTAGGAATTCAGTAGGAAAAAAATAATGCCCTTGTAAATTTGATCTCTTTTGCAAACATAAGAACATGAAATGTTCTTTGGTTTACCCCCCACCAGGTTTACATTAATAAACCATCAATTGTAAGCTCAACCATCCAATTCCAAAAAAAGTCCAACTTCAATATTATAGGCTGTTTTATTCTGTTGTGCATTTAACAAAGGATTAAGGCATAATGCATTTTTAATTAACTGAAATATTAATGGCAAAAGGCTTTCAAGAGAAAATGTTTAAAGAATTACTCATCATAAACATGGTTTCAATAGAATTTATTTATAAAGCTGGGTAGAGAACCAGGAAAGGATCATTAAAACTTAATTTTTTTCCTCTAAAATAAAATAGTTAACTTGAAGAACTTCATAGATAACAGCAAAAAATGCGGGAGCACTTTTGGGGGCTATGAACTAATTAACAAGCACTGAGATTTTCTACTATTTTGCCGAGTTTTTGTGAAACTGCTTAGAGTAAACGTGTAGAGCCTGAAGGGAGATTGTGTTCTGCCAGCCAGACTTCTTAATGGGCCCACACTCCATCATCATAAATGCCTTTCTTGGTAGCCACTCAGGCACCTGGAACTTTTCTGCTAATGAGATGATGAAGAGTAGCAGGGCAGGAATCACAGCACTCGTCAACCCTGTACTGCCTCGCTTTTATCTCTACTGTCTACAATACACAAAGCCAAGTCAAGATTTTATATACTGTCCTCGGTAGCATCTCAACACTGACAATGGACTGATTTTCATGGCTTTGAAAATTTTTAAGTTAGTTCATTCAATTAGGGTTGTGTTTGGCTTCATTTAACAGAAACCTGCCAACAGTGGCTTAAGCAGTAAAGTTTTATGTTTCTCAAATAAGTAAGTCCAGAAGGAAGCATTACAGTCATTAAGAAAATCATCAGGGATTGAGGTTCCTTCTAGTTTTCTGCTCCATCTTCCATGGTGTTTGATTTTCATTATTACAAGATGGCTGCTCCACTTCTAGGCATCATATCTATATTATCGTCTGGAAGAAGAAAGTGCACAGCACCAATGTGCATGGCAGCTGAAACTATTCCTTTTTAACAAGAAAAAATAACTTTCCTGCCAGGAGACTTCTGCTTATAGCGCACTGGCCAGAAATTTCTAACATGGGCCACCTTTAGTTAAAAGAGTTTCCTGAGAAATTGAATCCTGTTCTGTTTTGCCACTTGGATTACCCCAATAAAATCAGGTCTCCTTTGATAAGGAAGAAGGGAGGAAATAGAGGACGCTGAGTAGGTAAGTAGGAGCTGTTGTCATACATGAACAACCACTGGTTATGGTGACCAAACATATTATCTGCATTCTTTTTTACTTCATATTGTATAGATACGGCCTCGATTATACCCTCTGATAATCAGATCTAAAACCATTTTATACCACAATAGCAAACTTTAGCTGTCAAATCCCCCATTCTTTCCCACAGACCTCTCCAGAGCCTCACTGACTTCCCAGGTGTTTCCCATGGTGTTTGCAATAAGGCAGAGAGTGGGAAGAATGGGACAAAAGAGGCCAGGCTCAGTGGCTCACACCTGTAATCCCAATACTTTGGGAGGTTGAGGCGGGTGGATAACCTGAGGTCAGGAGTTCAAGACCAGCCTGGCCAACATGGCAAAATCCCATCTACTAAAAATACAAAAACAAATTAGCCAGGTGTGGTGGCACATGCCTGTAATTCCAGCTACTCGGGAGGCAGAGGCAGGAGAATCACTGGAAACTGGAAGGTGGAGGTTCCAGTGAGCTGAGATTGCGCCACTGCACTTCAGCCTGGGTGACAGAGTGAGACTCCATCTCAAAAAACAAACAACAACAACAACAACAACAAAAAGAATAGGTCAAAAGGATGGTTTTGGCAGATGTGTCATAGTCATATTTTTCACTCATATGATCTGAGTCCCATCTCATTTGGGTACAAAGTTTTGTGTGTGTGTGTTCCTTATTGCTGGTTTTTTTTTTAACCCACTAGAATAGCTATTACATAATTTTATTTTATTAACTTTTATTTCAAGTTCAGGGGTACACGTATGGTTTTGTTACATAGGTAAACTCATATCATGGGGGTTTGTTGTACAGATTATTTCATCACCAAGGTACTAAGCCTAGTGCCCAATAGTTATTTTTTTCTGTTCCTGTCCCTCCTGCCACCTTCCACCCTCAAGTAGGCTCCAGCATCTGTTGTTCCTTTCTTAGGCACAAAAATTTAAAAGCTGATGATCACACACTCCCAATTTCTGGCCTAATTATGTTTCTGCATTAAATTAGAAAGCACTTCTTCATTCCTCACTGTTTTTATATCAGGTAAGCCCACAATACTTGATGTGAGAATAAATGACCTAGATTAGGGTTTGCAAACTAGAGCCAAATCTGTCCAGATGAATTTTTGCAAATAAAATTTTCTTAGAATATGGCTACACCTATTCCTTTATGTACAGTGATGGCTGCTTTCACAGTACAAAGGCAGAATTGGGTAGTTGTGACAGAGACCATCTAGCCTATAAGACCAAAAATACTTACTCTATGGCCTTATATAGAAAAAGTTTGTTGATCCTTATCTAGACAATCAATAAATTAAAATGAGCAAGTTTGGTATTGTGTGAGCATCACTTCCTTCTAAACATGTGACAAATACTTTCTATTTTATACCTTTATACTTTCTCTTTCTGTTTTATACCTGGACCTAACTGTCCAGCAACAGAAGCAAAGGACTCTGGTGCAGAAATCTTTGAAGGAGTTGACAAAAGTAATGAGAAGTAAAGCACAGGGATTAATTTGTCAGGTAGTCTTGAATGGGTGACATAATAAAGTGAGAAGCTTTGAAAAGTTGGAACTATCTATATCAATTACAAGGTTTGTTTGTTTGTTTGTTTGTTTGTTTTGGAGATGGAGTTTCGTTCTTGTGTTGCCCAGGCTGGAGTGCAGTGGCACAATCTTGACTCACTGCAACCTACGCCTCCCGGGTTCAAGTGATTCTCCTGCCTCAGCCTCATGAGTAGCTGGGATTACTGGTGCGCCACCATGCCCAGCTAATTTTTGCATTTTTAGTAGAGACGGGGTTTCACCATGTTGGCCAGCTGGTCTCAAACTCCTGACCTCAGGTGATCCACCCACCTCGGCCTCCCAGCATTTTGCTGGGATTACAGGAGTAAGCCACCACACCCGGCCAATTTTTATAGTCCTCATTTACAGGTTAGTAATGTAACCCAGAGTCAAGCCATTTTTCAAGGTGGTAAAGACCTAAATTTTAGGATAATAACATCAAAATAAAATTCAACCAAAGGAAAAGAATTTAGCTTTTCCCCACAATTGCAGCCAAAATCAAATATTTCCTCCACCAGACTCCTAGAACATTTTGGCGATAGTACTATAGTTATTTGTCTAAACATTTGTCTCTTCCACTGGTGCACTGTGGGGGACACTGGCTTATTGAGATTTTTATCTCCACTGGTCAACACAGTGCATGGAAAGTGCTCAAAACATGATTTTTAACAAAAAGTTAACAATTAATTTGAGGTTTGAAATTATTTTAGTGGTTTATGGATAATAGAAAAGAGGTAGATTACAAAATAATATGCAACAAAGGATTAACTTTGCCTTCAGAGGTTTGGCCTTTGTCCCTGACTTCTGGGGGTCAATCTCTAAGCACTTGGAATATTTTGCCTGATAAGAGCGTTCTTGTTTACTTAGGGCCTTGGGCCATGCCAGATAGTCTATGCTAACAATGTGGTTTATGGTGGACCTTTGGTCATGCATTACCAGCTTAAATGCTGGAGGGTCTGAGGCTAAGGTGAGTGATACAGCCAGTCAACCAGGTAAATGTGACTGAGTCCTAATAAAAACACTGGACAGCAAAGCTCAGGTGGGCTTCCTTAGTTGGCAGTGCTCCATGTATTACCACATATAGTTGCTGAAAGAAATAGGCACTGTTGCACAGCTTCACTGGGAGAAGACAACTGGAAGTTTCACCTGGAACTCCCCTGCATCTTGCCCTATACGTGTCTTCCCTTGGGATCTGTATCTTTTTGCTATAATAAACTGTAACTGTAAATATAACAGTTTTTCTCAGTTCTGTGAGTCCTGGTGAATTATTGAACCTACAGGTGGTCTTGGGGATGCCTGAACTTGCAGTTGGTCTCAAAAGTGATGTGGCCTTGAGAACTTCTCAACTTTGTAAATAATAACAGTTGAGACTTGATAAACACTCTCTAGATGCAAGAGATGGAAACATAGATTGTTTCATTAAATTCTTAGACTAAGTCTATGAGTCTGGTACTATTTTTATCATCTTTTCATAGATGAAGAAATTGAGAATTTAAGACCAAATATCTGATCAAAAATTCAAGGGGGTGGAGATGGCTCCAAGTTCAAGCTCCTAACTTCAGAGCCCATCATCCATCCATCCACCGTGAAAGACTGTGCTCCTTCCTTCATGGTGTGAAGGAGGGCAGCTATGATTAACCTCCACTTAGGTCTCTGTACTTTCCATCCATGGGACAGGAGCCACAAGTGGGAGTTTCTGGGGAGCCACTAGATTCTGAGCAAGGTATGATCCTTGATTTTGACAGCTCTATTTTTCTCTTTGCCCCTAAAAGCTTCTGTAACAATAGGCTAATAACTCTCCCTAATTAATTGTCTCTGGGGGTTTCCTCCTTCACAAAAATGCACTAGACCTTTAGAAAGCTGGTTTCATTCTTAGTATATAAGCATGTCAAAAAGTGAAGTGAAGAATTTGTCTACACAGGCTGGGAAAATGGGAAACCAGGAAACCAAGAGTCATTCAGTGGAGGCTTGATGAGGAGAGATGATTATTTTCTTTTCCCTTTGGTAACTTCAAAATCATAGGAAATGAAGAGGAAATGAGAAACAACTGGAATCTCCCATCCTGGCTCTCAGTGCAGTAGTGTGGAGGTAGTGCTGATGACTGAGCCACCTGGAGCAGACTGGCCAAGGATACCAAAAACTTTCCTCCAAAGACTGTCAGCTCAGACCTATTGCATGCAAATGACACAGGCAGTGGCTGCTATAGGTATATTGTTGGAAGAGGAGTTTAGTTAACCTTTCCATTCCTACTCTGGGAAGCCAGTGATGTCTGGTCCCAGCACATGAGTCAGAGGCAAGTTCATGTGGCCCAGAGTCTAAGTATATCACAGAAACATGAAAACAGCTCTTCTAAGAGTCAATTTCAACAGCACTCAGATTCCAAAAGTAATTACTCTACAAATATTTAGGTTGAGATACTAAGATTCACTTTAATTCTTCCTTATGTCAAGCACAATGAATTTTTTTTTTTTTTTTTGAGACAGGGTCTTACTCTGTCACCTAGGCTGGAGTACAGTTGTGCAATTATGGCTTACTGCAGCCTTGACCTCCCAGGCTCAAGCAATCCTCCTGCCTCAGCCTCCCAAGTGGCTGGGACTACCGGTGTGCACCATCACACCTGGATGATCTTTAAATTTTTTGTACAGATAGGGTCCTACTATATTGTCCAGGCTGGTCTTGAACTCCTGGGCTCAAGTGATCCTCCTGCCTTGGTCTCCCAAAGTGCTGAGATTAGACGGGTAAGCCACCATTCCTGGCCACAATGAATCTTACACCACCTGTGACTAAACAACAGATTGAAAACAAAAGGACAAAATTAACTACTATTTCAGGTCACCTAAAAAGCAAAATTTGGAGACTCTAACTTTTCTCTCCATTTACAGATATAATTCACTCACTGGTCAAAAGGGTTTCTCCTCTGTTTTCACATCCAGTTCAAATACTGGACATTTTAGAGTATAAACCCATGGGGCAAATATCCAACATCGACCTGTCTGAGCTGAAATTTGATCTTTGGTTTCTGCTTTTTCCTGAATGGATCTTTTCTAGCTAACCAGGAAAAAGGTCTTTGATTTATTAGAACTGGGCCTGTCAAAAAAGCCAAGCAGCCTTCCTAGGCCCACACTAGAGATTGCCCCAAGAATGGAGGAGTTTGGAAGTTCTCACCAAATTAGCTTCCTGTGGACAAACACTTTGCTTTGAGCCATCCTTTAAGATGTTAGAAGGATGTATAGTCTTATTTTTGTTACCCCTGAGAGCTGTCTGTTCAGTTTCATCTGCCCAGAGCTATGGGTTTGTCGGTCCCACCACTAGTGGTGGCTGCCTTTTTCTCATATTCCAGAAACCTGAGGTTGTAGAAACATCATTCGCCGACTCTTCCAAATGCCCATGGGGTGGTATCAATCTAAGTCTCTGGGTCAAACTCCTGATTTCTTGATATTTTTTGAATTATATTTTTAACTCATATGCATCTTTCAAAATGGCATAATTTCATTAAGGACAATTCGAAATTACAGTGGCCTTTGGAGGGCTTTTCATAGGAATAGAAAAAGAAACAGGATCTTAGCTATCCATTGGTCTTTACTTTTATTTTTATTTTTACTTTTTTTTTTTAAAGACAGGAGTCTTTCTCTGTTGCCTAGCCTGAAGTACAGTGGCAAAATCGTAGCTCACTGCAGCCTCAAACTCCTGAGCTCAAGTAATCCTCCTGCCTCAGCATCTCTAGTAGCTAGGACTACAGGCACACACTACCATGCCTGGTTAATTTTTTTATTTTTGTTGAGACGGGGTCTCACTATGTTGCCTAAACTGGTCTTGAACTCCTGGCCTCAAGTGGCCTTCCAAAGTGTTGGGATTACAGGCATGAGCCACTGTGCTCACCCTATAGACTGCATTTTTCTAAAAAAACAATTATGTAATATTACTATAAAAATGATTCCCTGGACAAATTAAACTGATTTAATAATTTTTGGTTTAAAAGCTGCTCTATGTTTCCCCCCAACTTTACTACCATGTTTAAAACGTTAGCAAAATATATAGTTTAAGCTAGTTTTTATTTTCATTAAAAAAATTCTAATTCTAATTTGAATTTCCTAAATTTCCTCCATTGGTTTTGCTAGTCCCTCCTTTAATATTATAAAATTGAAATTTGTATGTTCCAGTAAATTGTATCATAATAGACAGTGTGTTTAGGAAAATAGATAAATTTATATAATGCTACAAAACATAAGATTTATCAAGAACTTGAATGTAAAATCTTAAATTAATATTATTTTGTGTTAATTGATTAATAATCTTTGGATACTTGAGCACACGATTTCAATATATCTGTGCTACTATTTGATATATCATAGAGTAGCCTTCAATTAACAGGTTTAAAAGATGTGCAAATGCCTTTGGTTTGGTTAATATATGTATGTTTTATTTATTTATTTATTTATTTGAGACAGGGTCTCACTCTGTTGCCCAGGCTAGAGTGGAGTGGCATGATCTTGGCTCATTACAACCTCCTCCTACCGAGCTCAAACGATCCTCCTGCCTCAGCCTCCTGAGTAGCTGGGACCACAGGTGCATGCCAACATGCCCAGCAATGGTACCTCACATTTCAATACTAACATTGAATGTAAATAGCCTAAATGCTCCACTTAAAATATATAGAACCTCAGAATGGATAAGAACTCACCAACCATCTGCTGCCTTCAGGAGACTCACCTAGGACATAAGGACTCACATACACTTAAAGGGATGGAAAAATGCATTTCATGCAAAGGGACACAAAAAAACAAGCAGGGGTAGCTATTCTTATGTCAGACAAAACAAACTTTAAAGCAACAGCAGTTAAGAGAGACAAAGAGGGACATTACATAATGGTAAAAGGCCTTGTCCAACACGAAAATATCACAATCCTAAACATATATGCACCTAACAGTGGAGCTCCCAAATTTATAAAGCAATTACTAATAGACCTAAGAAATGAGATAGACAGCAATACAATAATAATGGTGGACCTCAGTACTCTACTGAGAGCACTAGACAGGTTATCAAGACAGAAAGTTAACAAAGCAACAATGAGTTTAAACTATACCTTGGAACAAATGGACTTAACAGATACATACGGAACAATTCATCCAACAATAATAGAATACACATTCCATTCAACAGTATATGAAACTTTTTCCAAGATAGACCACATGATAGGCCATAAAACAAGCATCAACAAATTTAAGAAAATTGAAATTATATCAAGTACCACAGTGGAATAAAACTGGAAACCAACTCCAAAAGGAACCTTCAGAACCATGAAAATACATGGAAATTAAATAACCTGCTTCTGAATGAGCACTGGGTCAAAAACAAAATCAAGGTGGAAATTAAAAAATTCTTTGAACTGAATGACAATAATGACACAACCTGTCAAAACCTCTGGGATTTTGCCAAGGTGGTGCTAAGAGGAAAGTTCATAGCCCTAAATGCCTACATCAAAAAGACTGAAAGTGCACAAACTGACATTCTAAGGTCACACCTCAAGGAACTAGAGAAACAAGAACAAACCAAACCCAAACCCAGCAGAAGAAAGGAAATAACCAAGATCAGAGCAGAACTAAATAAAATTAAAACACAACAAAATACGAAAGTTAAATGGGCCAGGCGCAGTGGCTCACGCCTGTAATCCCAGCACTTTGGGAGGCTGAGGCAGGCAGATCACCTGAGGTCGGGAGTTTGAGACCAGCCTGACCAAGGTGGAGAAACCCTGTCTCTACTACAAATACAAAATTAGCCGGGTGTGTTGGCGCATGCCTGTAATCTCAGCTACTTGGGAGGCTGAGGCAGGAGAATTGCTTCAACCTGGGAGGCGGAGGTTGAGGTTAGCCGAGATTGCACCATTGCCCTCCAGCCTGGGCAATAAGAGTAAAACTCTGTCTCAAAAAAAAAAAAAAGATAAATGAAACAAAAAGTGGGTTCTTTGAAAAGATGAATATAATTGATGACCATTAGTAAGATTAACCAAGAAAAGAAGAGAGAAAATCCAAATAACCTCACTAAGAAATGAAACAGGAGATATTACAACCAACACCACTGAAATATAAAAGATCATTCATGGCTACTATGCACACCTTTACGTACGTGAACTAGAAAACCTAGAGGAGATGGATAAATTCCTGGAAAAATACAACCCTCCTAACTTAAATCAGGAATTAGATACCCTGAACAAACCAAGAACAAGCAGCAAGATTGAAATGGTCATTAAAAAATGATATGGTCGTTTACCTTGAAAACCCTAAGGACTCCTCCAGAAAGCTCCAAGAACTTTCTAGCAAAGTTTCTAGATACAAGATTAAAGTACACAAATCAGTAGCTCCTCTATACACCAACAGTGACCAAGTACAGAACCAAATCAAGAACTCAACCCCTTTTACAATAGCTACAAATAAAATAAAATACTTAGGAATATACCTAACCAAGGAGTTGAAAGACCTTTACAAGGAGAACTGCAAAACACTGCTGAAAGAAATCATAGACGACACAAACCAATGGAAACACATCCCGTGATCATGGATGGGTAGAATCAATATTGTGAAAATGGCCACACTGCCAAAAGCAATCTACAAATTCAATGTAATTCCCATAAAAATACCACCATCATTCTTCACAGCATTAGAAAAAAACAATTCTAGAATTCATATGGAACCAAAAAAGAGCCCACATAGCCAAAGCAAGACTAAGCAAAAAGGACAAATCTGGAGGCATCACACTACCTGATTTCAAACTATGCTATAAGGACATAGTCACCGAAACAGCATGGTACTGGTATAAAAATGGCACATAGACGAATGGAATAGAATAGAGAACCCAGAAGTAACCCAAATACTTACAGCCAACCAAACTGACTCTTGGGAAAAGCAAACAAAAACAAAAAGTGGAAAAAGGACACCCTTTTCAACAAATGGTGCTGGGATAATTGGCAAGCCACATGTAGGAGAATGAAACTGGATTCTCATCTCTCACTTTATACAAAAATCAACCAAAGATGGATTAAGACTTAAACCTAAGATCTGAAACTGTAAAAATTCTAGAAGATAACATTGGAAAAACCCTTCCAGACATTGGCTTACGCAAGGATTTCATGACCCAGAACTCAAAAGCAAATGCAATGAAACAAAGATAAGTAGCTGGGACCTAATTAAACTTAAGAGCTTTTGCACGGCAAAAGGAACAGTCAGCAGAGTAAACAGACAACCCACAAAGTGGGAGAAAATCTTCACAATCTACACATCTGACAAAGGACTAATATCTAAAATCTACAATGAACTCAAACAAATCAGTAAGAAAAAAACAATCCCATAAAAATTGGCTAAGGACATGAATAGATAATTCTTAAAAGAAGATATACAAATGGCCAACAAACATATGAAAAAATGCTCAACATCACTAACGATCAGGAAAATGTAAATCAAAACTGCAATGCAATACCACCTTACTCCTGCAAGAATGGTCATAATCACAAAATCAATAAACAGTAGATGTTGGTGAGGATGTGGTAAACAGGGAACACTTCTGCACTTCTGGTGGGAATGTAAACTAGTACAGCCACTATGGAAAAACAGTGTGAAGATTCCTTAAAGAACTAAAAGTAGAACTACCATTTGATCCAGCAATCCCACTACTGGGTATCTACCCAGAGGAAAAGAAGTCATTATTTGAAAAAGATACTTGCACACGCATGTTTAGAGCAGCACAATTCACAATAGCAAAATTGTGGAACCAACCCAAATACCCATCAACCAACAAGTGGATAAAGAAATTGTAGTATGTATATGATGGAATACTATGCAGCCATAAAAAGGAATGAATAAATGGCATTTGCAGTAACCTGGATGAGATTGGAAACTATTATCCTAAGTGAAGTAACTCAGGAATGGAAAACCAAATATTGTATGTTCTCACTGATACGTGGGAGCTAGCTATGAGGACGCAAAACTGTAAGAATGATACAATGAACTTTGGGGGCTTGAGAGGAAGAGAGAGAGGAGGGCAAGGGATAAAAGACTACAAATAAAGTACAGTGTATACTGCTCGGGTGATGGATGCACCAAAATCTCACAAATCACCACTAAAGAATGTATTCATGTAACCAAATACCACCTGTACCCCAATGACTTCTGGAAAATAAATAAATAAATAAATATTTTTATAATAGCTCTTATCCCCTGAAATAACTTTGGGTTTCCTAAATGAATACAGGTAACATAAAGATTTACTCCTTTACTTTATAAATGGAAGGATAACAGGAATAACTAGACTTGTTTGCCATTCTCTAAATTTTAATTAACTCCAGACTATTAGAGAGCTTCTTTCTTTACCAATTAGGATAAATTTCTTTTTAACTGACAAATTTAAAGAAAAGTTCAACATTTCCATGTCAATTATGTATAAATAAAATGTATTACTATGAATATGTCTCAATTATTGTATGTTCTGTATGTTAAAGAAAACATGGTCATATAGATACATGTATAATCTATACAAAGATTTTTGTCTCCAGGTTTAATATGTAGTATCTGTAGCATATATTTTTGAATAAATTGAAGGCCTAGAGATTTATCACTGTCCTCACTACCTATATTATATTATCCCTAGGAAAATCATTGACTAAATACCTACAAGTTAATTTTATGTGACGCCTCAATAGAGAATTTTACTTTTCTCCGATCTAATACTGTAGTTTAATATAATACATTGGCAAGATATGTTTATTCTTTCCACCAAAAGATATGAATAGACTTTCATGCCTGCCACCTAATCAGCCTCCATATGATATTAACCAGATGATTAGAAACGTTTGAAAGATGATCAGGTGGCTCATGCCTGTAATCCCTGTGCTCAAGCACTTTAGGAGGCTGAGGCAGGAGTATCACTTGAGCCCAGGAGTTCAAGACCAACCTGTACAATGTAGTGAAACCTCATCTCTTTTTATTTATTTATTTATTTATTTATTATTTTATTTTTTTATGTAATCTTTTTTTTTAATTTATTATTATTATACTTTAAGTTTTAGGGTACATGTGCACAACGTGCAGGTTTGTTACATATGTAAACATGTGCCATGTTGGTGTGCTGCACCCATTAACTCGTCATTTAGCATTAGGTATATCTCCTAATGCTATCCCTCCCCCCTCCCCCTACCCCACAACAGTCCCTGGTGTGTGATGTTCCCCTTCCTGTGTCCATGTGTTCTCATTGTTCAATTCCCACCTATGAGTGAGAACATTTGGTGTTTGGTTTTTTGTCCTTGCGATAGTTTGCTGAGAAGGATGGTTTCCAGTTTCATCCATGTCCCTACAAAGGACATGAACTCATCATTTTTTATGGCTGCATAGTATTCCATGGTGTATATGTGCCACATTTTCTTAATCCAGTCTATCATTGTTGGACATTTGGGTTGGTTCCAAGTCTTTGCTATTGTGAATAGTGCCACAATAAACATACGTGTGCATGTGTCTTTATAGCAGCATGATTTATAATCCTTTGGGTATATACCCAGTAATGGGATGGCTGGGTCAAATGGTATTTCTAGTTCTAGATCCCTGAGGAATCGCCACACTGACTTCACAATGGTTGAACTAGTTTACAGTCCCATCAACTGGTAAAAGTGTTCCTATTTCTCCACATCCTCTCCAGCACCTGTTGTTTCCTGACTTTTTAATGATCGCCTTTCTAACTGGTGTGAGATGGGATCTTATTGTGGTTTTGATTTGCATTTCTCTGATGGCCAGTGATGATGAGCATTTTTTCATGTGTCTTTTGGCTGCACAAATGTCTTCTTTTGAGAAGGGTCTGTTCATATCCTTCGCCCACTTGTTGATGGGGTTGCTTGTTTTTTTCTTGTAAATTTGTTTGAGTTCATTGTAGATTCTGGATATTAGCCTTTTGTCAGATGAGTAGATTGAAAAAATTTTTTCCCAATCTGTAGGTTGCCTGTTCACTCTGATGGTAGTTTCTTTTGCTGTGCAGAAGCTCTTTAGTTTAATTAGATCTCATTTGTCAATTTTGGCTTTTGTTGCCATGGCTTTTGGTATTTTAGACATGAAGTCCTTGCCCATGCCTATGTCCTGAATGGTATTGCCTAGGTTTTCTTATAGGGTTTTTATGGTTTTAGGTCTAACATTTAAATCTTTAATCCATCTTGAATTAATTTTAGTATAAGGTGTGAGGAAGGTATCCAGTTTCAGCTTTCTACGTATGGCTAGCCAGTTTTCCCAGCACCATTTATTAAATAGGGAATCCTTTCCCCATTTCTTGTTTTTGTCAGGTTTGTCAAAGATCAGATAGTTGTAGATATGTGGCAGTATTTCTGAGGGCTCTGTTATGTTCCATTGGTCTATATCTCTGTTTTGGTACCAGAAACCTCATCTCTTAAAAAAAAGAAAGATGATCAGATAAAGACTTCACTTAAACCTTATCAGAGGAGTCTTTTTCATAAACTATTAACAACTAACATAGCAGTAAGAACCCAATGATACATGTTTCCCAGAGAAGATATCATCCATTCTCCAACAGTAAAAATTTTAAAAACTGTACTTAATAGAAACATTAATCTGAGGGTCTCTATAGAGTCTCCTAAAGCAAATGGTCCACAGAATAGAAAGTGAATTCAAGATCCTTGGAACAAACAGATGACTGCATATGGTCAGGTTTGGTTCAAGACCATCCCCTCCCAGCAAAACCAGAGGCCAGAAGCTACTGGTCTTGTGCTTCTTCACACATTTTGTTCTTTATCCTCTAAGCCATCTTGTTTTCCCTTCCTGGTTCTGGTGTTTGAATTGTTAGTAGATACCTCTGTCCCTCACTCGTGCCAAGACCTATGTCCTATGTAATTTTCAGCTAGTGGATCACGTCTTCAGTCACTGACAAAGTTACACCACTCATAGCTGAACTAAAGATTAAAAAAAAAACTAGGTCATTTAAGAAATATCCAAATACTGTAGTTTGTGGGACACTTGGGGCATATTTCAATCATTGATTATAATCTTTGTATCAGTGTTTATCTCCACGATAGCTGCCAAATGCATGAGCTCCAGTCTTAACTGCTGCTGCCTGCCCACTGTCATACTAGATGATTCAACAAATAACCATTCAACAAAAATAACTAGAAGGTATAATGCTTATTGTCACCAAAACAACTACCTTACAAATGTTCAAATCTTTTTAATAGATTCAGGCATTATAAACACAGGTGCAAAACTAAATAGACTGTATTTCCCGAAGAAAGTGATTACAAGAAAATGAAAAATGGCCATACTAGCAGTTGGGCTGTGGCAGAAGTGGCAGAGATACTGAGAAGTGAAACAGAAGCTGTTACTTTCAAAGCTTCAAAACAGATAAACCGCACTGAACTAAAGTCATCTTGTACATCATACAGTTTTTAGGCTCAAACTTTTTTTCTTTCTTTTTTTGAGATGGAGTCTTGCTCTGTCATCCAGGCTGGAGTGCAGTGGTGCAATCTTGCTCACTGCAACCTCTGCCTCCCAGGTTTAAGTGATTCTCCTGCCTCAGCCTCCCAAATAGCTGGGATTACAGGCATGCGACACCACGCCTAGCTAATTTTTGTATTTTTAGTAGAGACAGGGTGTCACCATGTTGGTCTGGAACTCCTAACCTCAAGTGATCTGCTTGCCTCGGCCTCCCAAAGTGCTGGGATCTCAGGGGTAAGCCACCGCACCTGGCCTCTAGGCTCAAACTTTTTAAACAGGACCTACTCAGATCTGTATGTAATGAGAAAAGACCACAGACAAACTTATCTAATAAACAGTAACTGCACAGGCTAATGTAGTTGAAGATCAGATACTGTTCCGGCAATTTGCCTGGTCAAGGCCATCCTTTGACTAATCCAAACCTCCAAAAGTTGTAAGAACCATTCATTAACTCCTGGGCTGTTGAAATGCCACAGAGATCCTCTGGAGTGCCTTCCCCCTTATGCACCAAGATAAACAAATGTTGACTTCAGGTGTGTCCCTGATGGTCTTTGCCTGGTAGGCTTTAAAAATCTTACAAAATTGGTATTATTTCTATTCCCATATTTCAGATTTTATTGAAAATATTATCTTATAGCAGCACTGTCCAAAAGAAATTTCTCTGATGATGGAAATAGTCTATAATCTGCAGAGTCCTTCACAGTAGCTACTAGCTACATATGACCATTGAGTACTTGAAAATGGCTGGTATGACTGAGGAGCTGAAGTTTTCATTTTGTTTAATTTTAACTAATGTAAATCTAAATAACAACATGTGAGTAGAGGCTGTAATATTGGACGGTGCAGTCTTAAGAGCATGTACCATTCCTGACCTTGGTTCAAGCAATTCTCCTGCCTCAGCCTCCGGAGTAGCTGGGATTACAGGTGTGTGCCACCACGCCTGGCTAATTTTTTGTATTTTTAGTAGAAACGGGGTTTCACCATGTTAGCCAGGCTCGGCAAAGCTGCTGTGGCCAGACTGCCTCTCTAGATTCCTCCTCTCTGGGCAGGGCATCTCTGAAAAAAAGGCGGCAGCCCCAGTCAGGAACTTATAGATAAAACCTCCGTCTCCTTGGGACAGAGCACTTGGGGGAAGGGGCGGCTGTGGGAGCAGCTTCAGCAGACAAACGTCCCTGCCTGACAGCTCTGAAGAAAGCAGCAGATCTCCCAGCACAGCACAGCATTCAAGCTCTGATAAGGGACAGACTGCCTCCTCAAGTGAGTTCCTGACCCCCGTGTATCCCGACTGGGAGACACCCTCCCGGTAGGGGTCTACAGACACCTCATACAGGAGAGCTCTGGCTGGCATCTGGCAGGAGCCCCTCTGGGATGAAGCTTCCAGAGGAAGAAACAGGCAGCAATACTTGCTGTTCTGCAGCCTCCGCTGGTGATACCTAGGCAAACGGGGTCTGGAGTGGACCTCCAGCAAACTCCAGCAGACCTGCAGCAGAGGGGCCTGACTGTTAGAAGGAAAACCAACAAACAGAAAGGAATAGTATCAACATCAACAAAAAGGACGTCCACTCAGAGACCCCATCAGAAGGTCACCAACATCAAAGACCAAATGTAGATAAATCCATGAAGATGGGGAGAAACCAGCGCAAAAAGTCTGAAAATTCCAAAAACCAGAAAGCCTCTTCTCCTCCAAAGGATCACAACTCCTCACCAGCAAGGGAACAAAACTGGACAGAGAATGAGTTTGACGAATTGACAGAAGTAGGCTTCAGAAGGTGGGCAATAACAAACTCCTCTGAGCTAAAGGAGCAGGTTCTAACCCAATGCAAGGAAGATAAGAACCTTGAAAAAAGGCTAGACGAATTGCTAACTAGAATAACCAGTTCAGGGAAGAATATAAATGACCTGATGAAGCTGAAAAACACAGCATGAGAACTTAGTGAAGCATACACAAGTATCGATAGCTGAAACGATCAAGCGGAAGAAAGGATATCAGAGAATGAAGATCAACTTTGCCTCATTTTCTGATTGAACTAGCTCCAGCATCACTGAACAAAAATTAACAGGAGCATTCTTCTCTTTACTCATCAACCAAAGGTGTTATTCTGATTCAAGTGGGACAGAGTGCAAACGACACTGTTTGTGAATTCAGCCCCAGCATACTCTTTTATTTTTTATTTTTATTTATATATATTTTTTGAGACAGTTTTGCTCTTGTTGCCCAAGCTGGAGTAAGATGGCGCGATCTCGGCTCACCACAACCTCTGCCTCCCGGGTTCAAGCGATTCTCCTGCCTCAGCCTCCCGAGTAGCTGGGAATACAGGTGCACACCACTATGCCCGGCTAATTTTTTGAATTTTTAGTAGAAACGGGGTTTCACCATGTTAGCCAGCCTGGTCTCAAACTCCTGACCTCAGGTTATCTGCCCGCCTCAGCCTCCCAAGGTGCTGGGGTTACAGGTGTGAGCCACCATGCCCGGCCCCCAGTGTACTCTTATTCTTGGAAATACCACGAAGATTCTGGCACATGGTGAACGCTTGACTTTATTATATTTTCCTTTGTAATGTGAATTTGCATACTTAAGTGTCCTAGTGGGTATTTTAAATGGAGAGTTAGTAGACTGTGAGCCAAAGGCTGCTTAAGTTGGCACCTTCATAAACCAGAAGTCCCAATGTTGCTGGAATGTTGATTGCAATGCTTGATGGTATAGCAAGAATGTCTATTGCTGAGGTGAATTATTTTAGAGCATTGGTCCTCAATCTTGATTGCACATTAGAACCACCTGAGGAGCTTTTAAAATTCCAAATGCCAGACCACATAATTCAGAATTTCTGAGGGTGGGACTCTGGCATTAATATATTTTACAGCACCCTAGATGATTTCAATGGACAGCCAAAGACAACACTCATTTTTAATGAGTGGTTTAACACAACTAATGATTACATGCTAAAAATAGAATGAAATACTTCTAAGTTAAGTCAAAAGGATAGTAACAATAAGCCTTACTTAGTGACTTCCTGGCACTCTGCAGTATCTTCAGTCCCACAGCATTTCTATGAAGTAGACATTATTATTCTTATTTGCCATTAGAAAAAACTGAGTAATTGATTAGGGATCTGAACTTTAAAACCCTTGCTTATTAAAAAATATATTAATATATTTTACTGCTTCCACAGAGTCAGCTGAATCACTGAAAAAGTCTTAATGCCATCAAGAATTAACATTCTGAACATTTATGGTATCTTATTTAGGACTTCTCTTTAAAGAAAATGGATTCATTTTGACATACGTTAGAGGGCATTATCATTTATCAATGAAAAAAGTTCAATTTAATGTGCTCTCATTTTAAGCAGTATTTTGCTTTTCATGAATGAGTACTAATTACTGCAGATATGCATTGACAGTCAACTGGTTATTCTGTGTAAACGCCATTTTTAATTGATTTACCAAGCTTGTCCTTGTGTACCTTAGGTTAAAAAGAAAATATTTAAACCCTGAATAAAACTATAATATTGAATATATAAAGCTCAAGATTCTATATAGAATAAGGAAAATAGATATTAGGGAGAAAAGATAAATGAAAACAGATAATTAGGCCGAGAATTGCCAGTAAGTGTCTGTGTACCGTAATAGAGTGCTCTGTGAAGTCATGCTAAACCTCTCTCTAGGTTGAGAGAATCTCCTCTATTTTCTGACCATGAATTAAATCCAGCAAATACTTATTGAGTACTTTGACCAAGGCATAGCAAAGAGGAAATTATCCATCATGATCTTTTACATTAAGTAAAACTAACTGCAAAGCTATTTCCCATTGTACCAGATGCAGCAACACCAGATATACTTGAAGGGCATTTTTTAATCTTGTATTTGTTTGAGAAATTTGGCTGGGTCTTGCATCTTAGCTTTACATAGCAGATGCTACAGATCCTGAAATTGTCTCCACATTAGCCAAAATGCAGAGATTTTGAGGCCTGATGGGAGTTTGCATTTGTACATTGTCAATATCCTTGAATGTTTAAGCAGGTGTATCTATATAGCACAAAGCAAAATACAGTGGTTAAGAGTCCAGACTTCGGTGCCAAACTGCATGGAGTCAAACCAACTCTCTCAACTGTGACACTTTGGGAAAATTATTTAGAATTCCTTGTACCTGAGTATTTTCATCTGCTAAATGGCAATGATGAAAATAATAGCACCCACCTGATAGGGCTGCAGTGATGTTTAAGTAATTTACATACATACATATTACTTAGACCAGATCCTGGTACAAAGCAAGCTTTTGCTATCATTATACTCTAGGCTTATACTTTGAAGGACCTCAGGTAGTTGCTTTTTACACAAGAGTTTAGAAAAAGAATGTGATCATTAATTTGCAATACATCATATCAATCATCATGTTACTAAAGGACTGTTGATCTAATACCTATGTGGTAATAAAAGGCTGTAAGCCTTTACTCTCTTATGCAAAGAACACACAGAGTGTTGACAAAATCAGAAGGCATCTTAGAAGGCATTTTTTCTTCTCTACTTAGGGCAGCTGATCTCATTCATCTAAGGTGGTTTGATGTACCTGTACAGAAGACATGGAACTTAACTCATCTGTGTACCTGAGTATTAGTCCTTGAAAGAAAACTCAAGAAGCAAGTTACAGGCTATGGAAAGGACAGAAATGCTTGGCAGTATGGAAGATTGAGGCATTTATGAGCAGCTTTATTTGATAATGAGCCCTTTAGAGTATACCCATTAGGAATTTGAAGAATTGTTATTTATTACAAAAAAGACTTAAGCAACCTGCTTTTCCTTTAAATCATACAACTGTACATTTGTATAAAACTTCATATTTTTTAAAGTAGGAGATCCATTGGCATCATAATCCTTCCTAGCTCTTTCTGAATTTTGATCATCATCTTCCCTGCTCTAGAGAAGTTCTAGAAAAAATAATATAATGAAGAGAAGGATAAAATGACAACTCCCTGTAAAAATATAAAATAAATCTTAGGATTACATAAAAATCTATGGAAACCTAAAAAAGCAAAATCTTCATCCACAGAGTATTAACGAACTTGACCACATTTTTCTGGGATTAAAATTTGATTATTCATGTCCCGAAGAGTTTCTCAGGTAAACAGAATTCTGGTTTTCCATTGTTGTGGGAAACCTAGAACCGGCAAAAATTATGTCTTTCATTTTATGAACTTTTTTTTGCAATTGAGTCAACTGGTCTGATATACAAATTCCTTCATGGAGGGCTAGATCATGATATATTATGAATTATAAATTGATGGGAAAAGATCTGTGGGGCTGCCTAGAGATGAGTTTCTGAAGGTGTGAGGCTTAACGTTTGCTATTTAGCACAAAACTTCAAAAGTTGGCATTTCCTTACTGTGTTACTCTGGTGAAGATTTTTTTTTCATTCTACATATCAATATTTAAAATACATAAATTAACATGTTGCTGTGTTTGAAGTTTTATAAGATCTCTCTTTGGAAAATGCTTTAATTGTTCAAATTTAGATTGTGGCTTTCTTAAGATCATAAATAGGGTATCATTGTCTAGTTTGGGTTTCTCTTGGCCACTGTGATGGCTTTTTACTTGTTTCTTTGCCGTGGACTCTCATTCCATGCCATCTTCCACTCTACTGTCAGAATTCTGAAGGATAGATTTAGTCACATCACTGTTTTAAGAATATCTATTGTCTCCATATAGGCCTGTCGGATGAAGTCCAAATTCCTTAGGGAGATATACAAGGCTCTTCCCTCATTCTGGCTCCAACTTCCCTTTTAATCTGAGCTCCTCCCACTCGTCACCAGGAAGTCTTCTATAATACTTTGTTCCATGAGAACAAGAATCATGGCTGTTATGTTCGCTATTCTAGCCCAGTGACCAACAGGCTTGGAAGTGGCCAGGCATGTAACACGAAGGAGAGAAGATAGCAAGGTGGAGACTGGGGTGAACTGGCAAGCACATACTTCTTTCAGAGAGGGAGGGGGCATGGGAGCTGCTACTCAGCTCCAGTCATTTGTTGCCATGTGGGAATGTGGGCCCAGTGTTGCCAGATCTTCTAATTTTTTTTTTCAAGAGAAGCCAGAAATCTGGAATTTTATGAGAAATCTTCCAATTTTTAAATCTTGGCAACTAATTCAAAATATTTTTAAAACACTGTATGGGCCAAAAAAAAAAAAAAAAAAAGTCTGCCAACCAAATTGAATGGGACACCAGACTGTGACCCCTGTGGTAAGAGCCAGAAAGTGTTTGTTATCTACCTAGCCTTGTGTTCCACCCACACGAAACTTCCTGTTGTTCCCCAAACACACCATGTACTTTGTGCATCTCTTCAGCATTGGCCTTGCTGCCAGGGATGCTATTCTCATTTTCCACATAGAAACTCCTACTCATCCTTCAGGACTTAGCCAAATGTCACCTTCCTCAGTGAGGCTCATCTTCCCTGAGGAGATTGGTCAGTGCTCTGCCCAGACTCTGCTATAACATGCACCATATATATGGCGGTCCAGAAGAAGCTCTCTTATGACTCTTCTCTGGCATCCAACACAGGGTCTGGCACATAGTAGGCTCTCACTAAATGTTTGTTGAATGGATGTGTTCCCATCAGAATGAATATATGAGATTTCCTGAGGAAATAAACACTTTTCATTTCCTCCCATCTTTGCCATGTTGATTTCAATGTGGTAGGCAAATCCATCTGTGGATGTTGGTGTCCTTTTTCAGTTCTACGCTGCGTGCAGACTGTACTCTTTTTGGAGCTCTCCACCGTTACACACTCATTGGCTTAGGGTTAAGCGTATCTAGGCAGATGGCTATATAACTATTTGTCTTAAATTGTCTAAACGATTCAGACAGGTTTTCGAAAGTATAAGGTGTAGAAGAGTTGTCTCTTCAATGATCTGGGAGTCAGTTTTATAGAAATAAAATTATTACATTTCAGGTCAGGTATTCCCCATTAAAAGAATATATCCTTTTTTTTCTAGTTTTGGGAGCTTACCTTCTTTGTGACAATGCATTTCTTAAAACTGTTTTGGATTCCTGCTTGATGTATATTATGAGAATAATTCCAGCTTAAATGATTTCATATGGAAAATGAAAGCCACTCCAATCCATCCCTACCTCTGTTAAAGTAAAACCATAAGGGCTTCTAATTCCTAATTTCCTGTATACACCCCATATTTCCCAAGAAACAAGCCCATCCACATAATTTGACCACATATTCACCCACACAAAAAAGCCCACAGATTCCATACACATACATGCATATAAACAGAAGAAATATTGTAAGCAATTTGCATATAATCATTCCATCTACACAATAGTATTCAAAGTGGACTTCCTCCTCTGGGAAGTTATACGACAATACATTAAGTAAGAAATTTTCTCTTTCTTATGTCCATATATCCATATACTCCTCTATTTTATTTTTCTAAAAATTTCTACATTTTTTAGGATTCAGACAAAACTTGTCTGAAAATGTGAGAGGGTTTTTGAACAAAGGGCAAAATGGTTTCGTAAAGTTACCAACAAAAATTTACTCTGTTATTCAGAAGCTCACTAATTAGCTGAATCAAATAAGATCTGAAAGAAGTTCCCACCCACCCATTATCACTATATTTCCTATAAAATTTTAAAGAAAATTGCCTTCTTTACTAAGATGTTTCCAATTTGACAAGATCCAAAGAATGACTAAAAGGTATAAAATAGAAAACTCCAAATAGCCAAAAAAGAAAAGGATAGAGCTTTCAAATGATTTCTTTTCCAAGTCAACGAGACATATCATTTTGCATGATGACTGATGGTAGATTATTGTAATACGAAGTTTACTCTGCCTGATTATGGAGCAGTATTCGTTCTTTCCCCTACAATATTTTCTCCTAAAATACACCACTAATGGGATTACTCAATTAGGACCTTGAGAACTCCAGAAAAAAGTCGGGGTAACACACAATGCTATGCTTGGCAGTGAAGCTGAACCACAATCCCAATCCCCTGCCCCTAGCCTCACACGCAAGGCTCCAGAGGCTAAAAATATGCCAGGTCATCAAAGTGTCGCTGATTAACTTAAATGGCCTTCTTCAACAGTGAAAATGAATGAGAAATTGGAAGCACTAGACACTGAACTTGAAGGTCATAGCTTCCAATTTGAGCCTCCAAATTGGAAGACCTTGGTCACTGGTCAGCATAAGCATAATGAGGGTTCAGGACACACTATTGCCAAATATGGCATCTTGGCATTTGAGAAAACCACAGAAGCAGGAAGGTCACTCTCTCAACTTCTCTTGGCCCTCTCCCTGAAGCAGGCCATAAAACCCAGGAAGGAGTTTCTGACTGTATTAGTCAGGGTTCTCTAGAGGGACAGAACTAATAGGATAGATGTACATATAAAGGGGAGTTTATTAAGGAATATTGACTCACATGTTCACAAGGTGAAGTCCCACAATAGGCCATCTGCCAGCTGAGGAGCAAGGAAGCCAGTCCAACTCCCAAAATCTCAAAAGTAGGGATGCAGACAGTCCAGACTTCAATCTGTGGTCAAAGGTCCAAGAGTCCAAAAGCTGAAGAACTTGGAGTCTGATGTTCAAGGGCAGGAGGAACCCAGCACAGGAGAAAGATGTAGCCTGGAAGACTAAGCCAGTCTAGTCTTTCTATGTTCCTCTGCCTGCTTTTATCCTAGCTGCGCTGGCAGCTTTGGGTGGTGCCCACCCAGATTGAGGGTGGGTCTGCGTCTCCCAGTTCACTGGCTCAAATATTAATCTCCTTTGTCAACACCCTCATGGACACACCCAGGAACAATATTTTGCGTCCTTCAATCCAATCAAGTCGACACTCGATATTAACCATCACACTGACCTTCCTCTGAAGCAGATCATAAGACCCTCATTCAAGAGGTGCCCTTTCTGTACTGGGAGTAAAGAACATCCTTATCTCTGAAGACACAGTGTCACTGAGTTTTCTCCCAGTTTATGACCATTAGATCACACTTTTTAATCCAATCATACTTCCCTATGACTATCCACATTTTCTTCCAACCTAGCACAAAATATACACAAGTTTACCCATTTTGCGGGAGGGGTCTTCATTTCCTCGCATGTCATGTAAAACTTACTACTTTCATAGGCTTTTCCCTTGTTAATCTATTTTTTGTCATAGGGGCCTCAGCCATGAACCTAGCGATTGATGATGAAAATATATTTCTTCTCCTCTACAGCATCAATTCCCCTACCCATTTGTTCTTTTATAGTCACTTTGAGTGCACCGTGATTCTTCTTGGCAGCTTTCTTGTTGTCTTAGTCCATTTTCTGTCACTATGATTGAATACCGGAGACTGGGTAATTTATAAAGAAAAGAAATTCATTTCTTAACAGCACTGGAGCTGCAAAGTCCAAGGTCAAGGGCCAAATCTGATGAGAGCCTTCTTGCTGGTCAGGACTCTGCAGAGTACCAAGGAGGTGGCACAGGGCATCACACGGCAAGGGGGCTCACAAAAGACAGCCACAGTGGCTTTTATAACAGCCCCATTCTCATGATAGCTAAGCCACTCCCTCAATAACTCATTAATCTATTAATCTATTAATCTATGAATGGTTTATCACTTCTTAAAGACCCAACCTCTTAACACTGTTACGTTGGGGATTAAGTTATTTTTTGTTTTTGTTTGTTTGTTTGTTTGTTTGTTTTGAGATGGAGTTTCACTCTTGTTGCCCAGGCTGGAATGCAATGGCACAATCTCAGCTCACCACAACCTCCACCTCCCGGGTTCAAGCAATTCTCCTTCCTCCGCCTCCTGAGTACTTGGGATTACAGGCATGCGCCACCATGCCCAGCTAATTTTGTATTTTTAGTAGAGACTGGGTTTCTCCACATTGGTCAGGCTGGTCTCGAATTCCCAAACTCAGGTGATCCACCCACCTCGGCCTCCCAAAGTGCTGAGATTATGGGCATGAGCCACTGTGCCTGGCGGGGATTAAGTTTTAGCATGAGTTTTGGAGGGGACAAATATGCAAACCATAGTACTTATCATTTTTGGAATTTCTATATTCGTATTCATTTATTATAAAGCATTTTCAGAATTACTCGTGATGGCAAAAATATTACAAATGCCCTAGATATTGTCTTAGTCAATTCGAACTGGTATAACAAAAATACTACAAACTGTGTGGCTTGTAAACAACAAACATTTATTTCTCACTGTTATGGAGGCTGGCAAGATCAAGGCACTGGTAGATTTAGTATCTAGTGAGGGCATGTTTTCTGATTCACAGGGAGTATCTTCTCATTGTGGGAGAGGCAAGCAAGTTCCCTTGGGCTTGTTTTATAGGGGTACTAATCCCATTCTTGAGGACAGAGCCCTCATGACCTAACCACCTCCCAAAGGCTCTACCTCTTAACCTTAGAGTTTAGGATTTTAACATATGTGTTTGGTGGGACACAAGCATTCAAACTATGGCACATGTCAAATAGAAAAAAATAATACTGTAACTGTAAGTCAAAGGACAGCAAGAACAAGGATATAGTGGCCTTAGGATAAAGTTACTTATAAGTGAAGAAGGAAAAGGACTTTAACCGGGAGTCTGTGGCTCTCATTCAATGGAGCTTCTCCACAGTTTTAATTTTCAGAGACTATAACAGGAAACACCAGACAACGAGGTAGTTAGAATTTCCAGATGGGAAACTATAGCAGGTCATTTTTAGACCAAAAAATCCTGCATCTTTCCTTTTAAGGAAAATAAAACTCCTTCAGTATGAAGCAGTGGTAGACAAAGCTCATTATTAGGTTATAAATTTTAAAAAACTTATTAGGATCCTCAAGCCAGGAATCTAAAAGTACAGTCTCCCTTCCCCCTGCAGACATATTTATTGGCATCTATAGTGAAAAAAAAAAAGGCTTCTGAGAGTCCCAAATGTATCCAAATAAGCAGTTAAGAATACACAATGTGCATATGCCACATCAAAAGAGGTATTGTAATTTAAGGACTGTGGGGTAAAAATAAAACCCAAATCTGCCACAGTTGCATAGAAATGTGTTTAATCCTCTGTCTGAGTTATTTGGTATGAAACATCGCCCAGCCCCCACAAACCTTGACACAAACCTTGGTGGAAAGTTAGCGAGGCCACTCGGTTCCTACAGGCTCTGTGGTAGGGTTAGCCAGTCTTCAGCCCCCTCCCAGGGCTACCACACTTCACATAAACTCATCTGACTTTAAAGAAATGTTATGCAGACAGACAGATTGTTTGTTTGCACTTGTATTTCTGAAATGGAGACACTCCTGCTCACTTTAAAGTCACAGCAGAAAGCTTCACTGCAAAGAACAGAACCAGGGAAATCTCACATATACCTCATAAAGGGACTCCTGTAGGCATAATAGAGTCCCCCCTCTTTGGATATATAGCTATATTTCAGACAAGTCAGGAACTCTGGGTCCATGAGGCCTCCACATGGTGCTTAGAGAAACCTGGGGAGTTTTCCCAAAAATTATATTCGTCATGCTTCAGTGCCAAGTGAGTGATTTTTTTTTAGTTCCAATTGCACATGCATATAATGATCATAATGCTAAGTAAAAATTATTGACATACCAATAGAGCTAAAACTGGTCTTCTCCACACTTTCACATGTTTATTAAACATCTACTTCATGCCAGACCTTGTACTGACTCAAACAGAAATGTGAAAAGAGCATGCATGTGGAGCACTGATGAAGTCACAAAGGCTAGACAGTGGGTGCTAGATGAGAATGGCAAAATTCGAGGAGGGAACTCAGAAGCATTGCAATGGAATCAAACTTAACAAAGTGATTATGGCCAAAAGTCAAAAAGCAAGGCAAAAAAGTCTCAAAAAGTTTCATCGCCCTTGAAAATCTTTTATGAATGTGCCATGTTGGTACCATGTGCCATCTCTCAATAAATTCTTCCCAGGCAGGCTTTTCTCCCACCTTTGTGGAGAAGGCTGTTCCTTCAGTTGAGTACCAGATGAAAAGAATTGGCTTCCACTTTGAATTCATGGTGTACTAGGAGTACATCTGTTGAAACACTGGCATTCCATTCAGTGTGGTGAGATGTCCACCCCATGAAAGGCCTGAAAAAACTGTCAAGTAAGGTGACAGAGATGGAAAGGAGAGATTTAGAGAAAAAATGTAGGTGATAAAATTGACAGCCCTCTTAAGCCTTTGTGACAATATCCAACGCTATGTCCTCTATCCCTCCCTTATATACCTCCTCCAAGCTACAACTCACCATTCTAAATCACTAATCTGATAATGGTAAACGCCTTTAAACACTTATGGCCAAACAATAATCTTCACACTTTCAGCTTTGATTTTCTAAAAGTCAAATATTAATGCCTGACAGAAGAATCAAGAGTAACAAAATTGCAATTTTTTTATTTTATTTTACTTTTATTATTATTATTATTATTATTTTGAGTGGGGGACAGGGTCTTGTGCTCTGTTACCCAGGCTGGAGTGCAGTGACACAATGATAGCTCACTGTAACCTGGAACTCCTGGGCTCAAGGGATCCTCCTACCTCAGCCTCCCAAGTAGCTAGGACTATAGGCGAGTGCCACCACACCTGGCTAATTAATAAAATTGCAATTTGAGTCTTGCTGTGTCACTCAGCCTGGAGCACAGTGGTGCAATCTCATCTCACTGCAGCCTCCGCCCCATCGGGTTCAAGAAACTCTTGTGCCTCAGCCTCCAGGATAGATGGGATTACAGGTGCCCACCACCACGCCCGGCTAATTTTTGTATTTTTAGTAGAGATGGGATTTCATCATGTTGGTCAGGCTGGTCTCGAACTCCTGACCTCAGGTGATCCACCCCCCGTTGGCTGTTCAAAGTGCTGGATTATTGGATTACAGGCGTGAGCCACCGCACCCTGCCAAAATGGCAATTTAAATGTTGAAATACTGTAGGCAAAACTTAAACATTTCATTTTACTAAGTGAGAGCATGTCCTAAAGTGAGAAGAAGATGGGAAATGTAACTTGCTCTTTCACTCAACAATCTCTTCAGGACTTTCATGGTGTGAACATCTCACGACACTGAATGGAATGTCAGCCAGTGTTTCAACAGATGTATTTCTGGTACCCCATGAATTCAAAATGGAAGCCATTTTTTTTCATCTGGTAGTCAACTGAAGGAACAGCCTTCTCCACAAAGGTGGGAGAAAAGCCTGCCTGGGATGAATTTATTGAGAGATGGCACATGGTACCAACATGGAGCCTTCATGAAAAATTTTCAAGGGCAATGAAACTTTTTTTTTTTTTTTTTTGAGACAGAGTCTTGCTCTGTTCCCCAGGCTGGAGTGCAGTGGCACAATCTCGGCTCACTGCAACCTCCGCCTCCCATTTTTTTTCAAACGATTCTCCTGCCTTAGCCTCATGAGTAGCTGGGATTACAGGTGCGTGCCACCACACCCAGCTAATTTTTGTATTTTTAGGAGAGATGGGTTTTCACCATCTTGGCCAGGCTGGTCTCGAACTCCTGACCTCAGGTGATCCACCCACCTCAGCCTCCCAAAGTGCTGGGATTACAGGCATGAGCCACCGCACCCGGCCGGGCAATGAAATTTTTTGAGAAGTTTTTGCCTTGCTCTCTGACTTTTGGCCATAATCACTTGGCTAAGTTGAGATTCACTGCAATGCTTCTGAGTTCCCTCCTCGAATTTTGCCATTCTCCTCTAGCACCCACCGTCTAGCTGCTGTGACTTCCTAAGTACTTGATATGGTTTGGATCTGTGTCCCATGTCACAGATCCGTCTAAATTTCATGTTAAGTTATAATACCCAGTGCTGGATGTGAGCCCTGGTGGGAGGTGATTCGATCATGGTGGCAGAGTTCTCATGAATGGGTTACCACCATCGCCTCCCTGGGTGCTTTCCTCGTGATAGTGAGTGAGTGTGTTATTGTGAGATCTGGTTGTTTTAAAGCGTTTAGCGCCTCTGTCCTCTCTCTCTTCCTCCTGCTCTGGCCACACCCTCGCTTCCCCTTTGCCTTCCACCATGACTAAAAGCTCCCTGAAGCCTCTCCAGAAGCAGAAGCCACTATGCTTCCTGTACAGCCTGCAGAACCATGAGCCAATTAAACCTCTTTTCTTTACAAATTACCCCGTCTCGCATTTCTTTATAGCAGTACAGGAACAGACTAATGCAGTGTTCCATATGCGTATTATTTTCAAACTTCTGTTTGAGTCGATACAAGGTCTGGCATAAAGTAGGTGTTTAATAAACATGTGAAAGTGTAGAGAAGACCAATTTTAGCTCCATTGCTATTACTCTGCAATAAAACAGAGGTAATGAAGATGGAAAGCAAAGATTTAGAGAGAAAATGTAGGTGGAAGAATTGACAGGATTTAGTGATTACTAAGATAAAAAGGATGAAGCTGGAAAAAGTAGAAGTTAGAATAAGGTTGGTTTTTGACAGGATATGTAAAATTCAATGTCATTCTTGAAAACAACTTATAACTTGAGTTGGTAACCCAGAGCACATATAAAAAAACTTGAGATTGATGATGTGGACTGTACAATAGTGTTTTCCCCAATATCTCTACTGTGAAGGACATAAATTAGGAATGATGATTTATTTGTCTGTCAAATTTTGAATGTTGTTATCACTTGAAGCTCTGAAATGCTTTTTTTAAGCAGGATTAATTTTGATAACAAGGATAGCAAACTGGTACATGCAGGTACAGTGCTGGTGGCTGACTGTCCTTGGGACAACATGTTTCCCACAGAAGCCTGCAATTGACAGATCAGTGATCTACAGATTCCACCAGGTACAACAGAATCCTGCAAGAAGTGATTAGGGTCAAAGGTCTTCATTGTTGTGTGTATTATGGCACTTTCATAAAAACAAAAATGTCAGTCCTGACTCAAATTTAAGGAGACATGCCATAATAGGGGTTAATGGGGGTTTCCTTTCACCGTGACTTATTTTTAGCATGATATTGAATCCTTTAGGACTAGAACCTGCTATATACTTATGGGGAATTAAAAAAAATAAAAAAAAGTTTTATCTTATCATTCTGACTGGTAAAACTTAATACTACCTGTATTATATGTATTGAAAACTATATCTTCATTCCTGCTCTAGGTGGGCCCATCTAGGAGGGAGTGTGTGTCAGTGTGTTTGCGGCATTGTATATTATAGTCAACTGAAATTAATTATGTTTGTTCAGCTTATTTCTAGCTCTTCAGTGGTTTTAGCTAAAGAAACATGAATGGCTATATCTTATATTAAGCAATAAAGGAATGTGGCAGTGTTGAGATATTAAAGTTCTTGTAAGATTTCCTGGCCGGGTGCAGTGCCTCATGCTTGTAATCCCAGCACTTTGGGAGACCAAGGCAGGTGGAATCACCTGAGGTCAGAAGTTCAAGACCAGCCTGGCCAACATGGTGAAACCCCGTCTCTACTAAAAATAGAAAAATTAGCTGGGCATGGTGGCACATGCCTCTAGTCCCAGCTACTCGGGAGGCTGAAGCAAGAGAATCACTTGAACCCAGGAGGTGGAGGTTGCAGTGAGCCAAGATCGCACCACTGCACTCAGCCTGGATGACAGAGCGAGACTCCATCTCAAAAAAAAAAAAAAACTGTTTCCTTTCATAGCATTTTGTCTGGGGGTTGAAATATTACATAATTTCCCTAAGGTAAAACTTGCCATGGATTTATTCTTCTCACTATTATTATACATGGTATAACATTATTGTTAAGTTCTAAGATACATGTCTTTTTAGTAATGACTAACATTTACTATCTAATCATATTATAAAAACTTTTAAAAAATAGACAATTCAGCTAAGCAGTAGTTATAATAATAGATTACATTACTCTCTAAATTAATAAAAGATGGCTAAAATTTAAGAACATAAACAACACCTTTACCTTTGAGGAATATTAAACAGCTGAAATAAAACAAATCTATCGTTATAATGCACCAAATTGTTTTTTATTTTAGCAGGCCTGCTTATATTAAAATCTGTGTAACACATAAAAAAATTATCAATTTGGCTATAGTGACTATACTACATTCAAGTATACATTCTCTTTCAATGATTTAAAGTGGCATTGTATTAACTCTATAATTATATACACTATGTGTGCAATAATTCCCAGGTATACCTAATTTTGATTTCCACCATTTTAGAAAGAATGCACCCCAGGCCTGAAGTAAAACTCTCTTCAGGGTAAAGTGCCTTTCTGGAATATTCAAGTTCAATGGGAATGTTGGAGAAATGTCTAGTATTTGCTCAATAACTGCACATTCAAAAATAGTTAGTTTTGGCCAAAGCTTTATTAAGAAAAAACCCACACATATGTAAGGAAAGACACAAGCTAGAAACATGTGAACACACTGAGAACTTTTCCCAGTGCATTGGCCCCTGGCAGTGAGACCACGGAGGCCACTTGGGAGGGTGCAGGAAGCCTCCCAAGGACAGAGCACAAGGCCGCATTTCTCCTGAACTCAGGCAAGTTGTGTGTTTTCCCTGAAAATCTGGACCCAACTCTCGGCTTCTTCCTCCAAGGATTCCATACTCTAAGTTTTCTCTGTAATGCTAGAAGTTGGCCTGGATTTCCAACATTTCAACATTCCTCATTAAAGGAGGATTGTCTTTATCAAGCTGGCAGATGGTGCTGCGGCAGAGTCTGCTTCAAACTAAAATGTGTTTGTGAGGCCTTCTCTGTCGAAGATTTATCATAAGAAGCAAATGCACAAGGCGCACCTTCCATGGCAAGAAAGTTGGTGGGTGACAGGTCATGAATGAGGTAGAGAGAGTGATAGAGATAGGGGAAGAGACAGGTAGAGAAAGGTGGAGATAAACACAGGGCTCAGATTACGACTCGCAGGTTTTTCCAGCTTGAAGTCCTGCTGTATGTTTTCTTCGGGAGCCAGTCAAGGTCAGTGGTTCCTACCAGAGAACCGAAGTCCAACAGACTTTATCTTGAATCCCTACGCTGCCACTTATAGAAGGGCAAGGTCTTTAACTTTTTTATGCTTCAGTTTTCTAATACACAAACTGGGGACAACATAACCCTCCCAAAGGGATATTGTCAGGACTGTATAATAATGTATTTAAAGAGATTATTATACAACTGGCATTGGCACAGTATAAGATTTCAGCAAATTACATTATGTCATTAATGTAAGTCAATTGAGTTTATATCTATCTCAGGTATTGGAGATGTAAATTAAATTATTTTTATAGAGTGCTGGCCCAAATATTACTGATTTTGGTGGCCTCAGAGATGCAGCTCGCTAGATTGTGCTGTTAATACAGCATAAAAACACTAGATCAATTGGTTTCTATTTGGGGCAAAACTTTAATTTTGGACTTAGTGACAGTTAAAGATTTTGTTTTCAAATAGTCTACACTGAGTTTCAAATACCAGCATTAAGGTTAAGTTTATCTCCTTTTTGGTCTTACCATAACTCTACAGGCTAAGTAAACATTCTGATAAGAAAGTAGTCTCTAAAATGTGGAGGCTGCAAGCTAGCACTTGACCCGAGGGGTGGGTGATAGTGTTCTTCCTCACCCCTACTGATGATATCCTTTCCGCATCTGTCTGCGGAATTAACATCAGGATACCTACCTTCAAGCTGTCCTAGAACTGTCAGCTATGGTCTTAGCTGAAAGTAAATCTTTGTTTCTCAATAAAGCACCCCTGAAAAGCGAAAGACTTTAAGAGCCAATGGAAGCCATCTTTAATTGTAATATTTTAGCTAAGTGTGTGGCCAGAAAGTCCTCTAGGAATAGCCTTCTTAGAACTCTAGCCGGGCGCGGTGGCTCATGCCTGTAATCCCAGCACTTTGGGAGGCCGAGGCGGGCAGATCACGAGGTCAGGAAATCGATACCATCCTGGCTAACACAGTGAAACCCCGTCTCTACTAAAACTACAAAAAAATTAGCCGGGTGTGGTGGCGGGCGACTGTGGTCCCAGCTACTCCGGAGGCTGAGGCAGGAGAATGGCGTGAACCCGGGAGGCGGAGCTTGCAGTGAGCCGAGATCGCGCCACTGCACTCCAGCCTGGCGCCACTGCACTCCAGCCTGGGCGACCGCCACTGCACTGCCCTCCAGCCTAGGCGACCGAGCGAGACTCTGTCTCAAAAAAAAAAAAAAAAGAACTCTAAATTATATTCCTATAGTCATTTACCTAAGGCTGACAATACTGGGGTAAAACAGAAAATCTTTAGGGAGTAGGACCTGAGACATCTCAAAAGCAATTAGAAATATAAAATAAATTTGTGACAAAATTCTTCTTTTCACCTCTTCAACTAACTTTTCTACAAATGAAAGAAAAGCAATAAATTTATTTCTTGAGAAAGGCATTGTTAGTGGCAAGTTTTGGCAAGGATATAGAGCAATTAGAGCTCTCATACACTGGTGGTAAAGGTGTAAACTGGTACAATCACTTTGGGAAATTGTTGGGCAGTGTCTACTAAAACTAAATTACAAATATTCTATGACTCAGCAATTCTACTCCGCCAGTGATACATACATATGCCTGACAAAACATGTGCAAAAATGTTTCCTTTATGCATAATAGATAAAAATTGACAATAACACAAATGTCGACAGTAGAATGGATAAATAAATTTGGTATTTACATAATGGAATACTTTGTCAATAAAAAAAAAACTATTACTACATATAATACAAGAGATGACTTTCATGAATATAACATTGAGCAAAAGAATCCAGACCAAAGAGCACATACCATATGATCCACTTTACCTAAAGTTTAAAACCAGGCAAGTCAGAACAGTGGCTATTCTTAGTGGGACAGTGACTGGAAAGGGCAACAAAGTGGGAGGGGACTTGGTAACATTTTGTTCCTTGACTTGGGTGTTTGGTTATATGGATGTGACCACATTATGAACATGGATCCAGGTGTACACTTATGATTTGTGCACTTGCGAGCATCTATGTTATACTTCAAAAAAACACAGCAAAACAAAATGACTCATACAAAAACTAGAAAAAGTAGACTATGGTTTGGAAAGCCACTTTGCTAGTTCTTCCAGTTCTCTGAGAAGAAACATTAGAAGCAATTTTAGATGACCTGGGTTCTACTGTAAACATTTGAGGAAGTCACCTTTCCTCTCTTGGCCTCATTTTCCTTTTCTGTAAGAAGAAGGATGTCACTAAAGGGTCCCTAAGATTTCTCTGTGTTAGAACCGTGGCTCTAACACAGGTATACTGACCTCAAAACCAGCACACTTAACTACCAAACTTGTTGCCTCTTAGATTGGACATGAGGAAGCAGATCACACTTTTGAAGTTTTCTCAAAGGTAAAGCCCACTTCTTCCTTAGGAAGATTCTTGGACAGTGTGATGGAAAACAACATTAGGACGAATCCCTAGAAAGTGATTTTTTCTCTGGTAGTCTGTATCCTGTCAATGTTGGATCTCATTAAGCAATAAGCCCTTGAAGAGAATTTATCCTAATTCTAAAACCAGTTGAGCATCCCTCAGCCAAACATTTCAAGTCTGCAATGATCCAAAACCCAAAACTTTTTGAATGCCAACATGTTACCACAAATGGAAAATTTCACACCTGATCTCATTCGATGGGTTGCAGTCAAAACACAGGTGTACAACACACCGTTTATTCAGCATCCCCAAGGGAAAAAAAACCCTCCTATCCCCCTTCAGCTTCGATATATCTTTTCTGCTCATGCCCAGATTACCCCACACAAGTACATCCACCAAGGGTAACAGAAGGACCCATGTGCCAGCCGGATGCATCAACAGGGGGTTCCTGCACAATGTCCCCACATGGGGCCCAAACCTAGGTGCATCGCTCACTGTTTTTTTGTTAGTTTGGTTGTTTATTCTTTGCACTGTGGTGTAAAGATACTGTCGAAAATGTCAAAAAGGACTACAGGTACTCCTGCGAGTAACAGTGTTATGAAAGAGGAAGCATTTATGTTTATCTATACCACAGAAAATCAAGCTGTTGGAGAAACTGCATAGCAGTGCAGGTATGTATAACATGTATATGAAACATAAATGAATTTCATGATTAGATGCAGGTCCCATCCCCAAGACAGCTCATTACATACATGCAAATATTCCAAAATCCAAAATCTGAAACACTTCTGTCCCAGGCATTTTGGATAAGGGATACTCAACCTGCAGACATGAGATGGTTTAAATCAAGACTTAGAATTCAGGCAATCAACCTAAAGACACTGTGGCCTTAAGTGAGCTGTTCTGAGGGGGTTGTTCTTGAAGTTGCCAAATGAAGCCCTTGGATTTTTGGTTGCCTGCTGCATCTGACCTCCTGGCTGGGGTTATCAATATCCCCTTGCCAACTAAACTCTACTGAGGAGGTCTGAACCGAAATTAAAGGCAAATAGTTTAAATGAGGCTTTTTTTATTATGCTAACCACATCCTTCTCTGGACCAAAAGCTTCCCTAAATTGGGACTCTTGTTTAGAGATGGCATTGCCCCTAGCTCAGCATGGAGAAGAAGGAAGAACCATGTTTTAACAGGCTCCCTTCCCTAGCCCCTCTCTTCTTACCTTGGGACAATGTAGAAAAGTTATTAGGATGGAAAATGTTTTGCTGAAACTTTTGTGCATATCGTTTCTGAGAATTTTCCAAAATAGTAAAGGGATGCTGACTTCCCACTAGGACTCAATAGAGTGTAGCAAATCAAAAAATTTTCCGAAAGGCATTTTCCTACCACTCATCCGACCACATTTCCCACCCCGCAGAGAAGTATTGTGGCTGCAGGCAGAATCGGATCTGAGATTCTCACACAGAAATAGGTAAGTTTTCAAACCTTCAAAGGAGAAAAGAGCAGATAAAAAGTCTACTGTTGCAGATTTTGGAGTGGGGAGGGATGGGGTGTATGAGATAACAAGGAAAGAATAGACATGTAATCAGGAACGAAACAAACTCACTTACTTTGTGTAGTTGAGTAGGGATGGGGTGACATCAGCTCTCTGATGAGTGTGGAGAATGACTTCTTGAGCAATACAGAGAACAGTTTCAGATTCTACTCCCAGTGATCTGCGGGTCTTGTCTAATCAGGGAAACTTTATTTTTCATCATTCCTTACTGAGCTGTGACACATGAAAATAATTACTGAGGTTAGAGATGGAAAATATTTATTAGGTCAGCTCGACCATCCTCTCCGCTATGGAGGCGGGCTCCCTGCTGGGCCTGGAAGACGGAGCTGTGTCTTCCAGGCATGTCACAACCTGGCATGTCCCCGTCTCCCAGCATCTAAAACGCAGGTTATCCATCCCTGCAGGGTCTCTGCTGTGTCTATGATCAGCCAAGGAGGAGAAAGAAGAAGACAGGAATACGTAATCCAGCCACAGGAACGCCTGGCTCTGAGCCAGCGGCCAACTATTCAAATGGGTAGTTGTTGGATCTGGCTTTAGAAGGTTGAGCTCCAACACCTCCTTGGGACACTCCATTACCGGCTGCTTATATGAGAGGTGCAGGAGGCCATGGCTAAGGCTGGGAAGCCTTTGAATGGGTTGTGTCCTGTGCTCATCCTTTGTCTTTGAGTAAGGCCTGGCTCCTGGGAGCTGTTGCTCAGTAGCACTTGCCGGGGTGCCTGCATGCCCCACTGGCTGTTAGTCAAGGGGAGAGACCCTGTTCCCTCTCGGCTGGCCTGGTGGAGTCACTCCCCCTGAGCCTTCTTCCTTTCTGGCTGTTTTTCTTCTGCTTGGCTTCGAGCTTGCTGACATTGAACCGTTCCTAAAGAGACCAGGGCAGCACTTAGCAGTCTAAAGGTGGTTTCTTCAGAGCCATAGAGACAGGGCCGCCTCCTGTGCTAGGCTCTCCAAATAAACGGCTCTCCTCAAACCCCCACAGCTCCAGTCTGTGCGCCCTTGTTTCATGCGGAAGTCTGGGGCTGGAGGTTCTCTACAGGACTCAGAGGCACTTAATATGTGTAAAATCTTGCTCTCCGCCGAACTCCACTGCCCCCGGGAGCGGGGAGTGCAAGGGCCAAGGAGGCTTCCATCGCCTCAAAATCGCCTCCCACATCGACAAGGAGCTTTAGGACCCCACACAGAACTGGTCTCAGAAAACAGCCCAAAGAATGGATTCAAATTCCTATCCAAGCTCCAGAACACCTAATGGGAAAACGGAGCACACGTTGCTATAAAATCAAGGAAGTGACTGAGGGAGAAGGTTATAATGATTGAAGGGATGCACGTCGAGGGCCAGAGTTGCTTGTACAGGTGGTGGAGGGCGAGGAAAAGCGTCCACGGAAAGACAAATGATCCATACAGTCTGCTTGTCCACGGACAAGACGGGCCTACACGGGATGTTTTTAGGGTAACTGAAAACCGTCTACAATCCTCCTGAGTAACTGCAGAGGTCTGTGGAGAGGGAGATCTTTTACTGGCGCTAGATTGGGCCCTGATGTTACCACAAGCTGTTTACATCCTTCAGGTCTGCCAGGCAGGGGAAGCGATAACTGAGCCCTCAGCTCCGCACTGAGACTCTGTGTTTGGTGGTGAGTGGGGTTTTACATAACACATCTTCTCACAGAACTTTGAATGTGCTGCATATTAGTTAGGTCGCATTAGGGGTCTCTTCACTCCCACGTCCACTTCCGCGGCCCAGACGTGAGCGCCCAGTGGCCTGGACATCCTCCACACACGTCAGCAGGGAGCACCGCGTCCCGGGGAGCAACGTCCTCACGGGGAACTGAGGCAGGTGTCTGAGGCCATGTCCACACTTCACTAAAATAACTGGTCTACTTAGTGTTAAAAGTGAGGGAAGTGATCACAACCATTTGAAAAATCCAATTTATTATTTTTACTGCAATCATAATGTATATAGTGTGGAGGCTTCCTTCCTACATGACTTATTAGCAGTTATTATGATTATCATGATTTTCCCTAGGAAAAATAGAAATATAAATAAGATGCCATATATGATTGGATAAGAGTAATCGAAGATAACGGTCTTAGAACAGGAGGTTTTCAGATCCAAATAATAGTTAAAATTATAATGGTATTTCAAGACTTGCCTGCTCTCTACCAAACTTGGATAATATCTCTTTTGGCTTTACCTTAAATTCCTATTTTTTACTTGCTCCATATCCACTGAGGGAACTGTGGTAGAGAACTCCCTAGCCTCATTTTGATATATTTTTCTTATTCATTTTATTATCCATAAACACTTCAATTTTCGTCCCTTATTCTACTGGAGAAAAATCATGCTTTTCACTTTTCTTTTTTGGAAAATAAATTAACCAAAATGTAATATGATATTTAAGTGAAGAGTGCCACTGACATTAAATGGTCCACGTGGCGTTACATTATGTTTTCCACTTTATTCTGTGCATCTTTCTAATACAGGCTAAAACTGGTGTTCATGTAAATTGCTCTGGTTTTATCAAACAGGATGCTGCATTCTTTTTGAAACCCAGGGCTCTGGTGCAGTAATAGAAAAAAAGGCAGCAACAAAATAATGGGCACTGGCAATCAAACTATCATTATAGGTACATTATGTGCAGGGTGCTAAATTGGTAGAAGGCCTTTATTTTTAATTTCAGCTCATCTGTTCACCATTAGACACCAGAGGAGATTTAAGAGTGACGGAGGGTAATTATACACTTTAAGAAAAGATATTTTTCATCATAGGGTTAGAACTGCACCAAGAGAAAATCCCACTGAAAATGTTATACAGGGCCTCTATGTATATTCTTGTTTGGACATGTACATAATTTTCATTTTATATTCTAGTTTTAGTTTCACAAGCCTGCAATTCCTGTTAGATCTTTATCGTTTGTCTGGATATCGCTTCAAAGTTTTTTAAAAAACATTATTTTAATAAATAAGTGTTCATTTTGCATTGTGTACTTAAAAATAATTCATTATGCACTTAAGGAATTTTTAGTTTTCCAGTTATGGGTAGTGTCATTTGGGATGAAACAGTGAATATTTTAAACATAGTCAGAGACTTTGGTTAAACTCTTGAATAATTAAGGGAACAAAGTTGTAGGACCTATATAATTTTTAAAGTTTTATTTATACATAATTGACAATACAATAACTACATATATTTAAACTGTATACTTTTATAAGTTTAGATATACATATATGATATGATATCTATTTTTATGTCTATACCAACACAAACACAGACTAGTAAAACCATCGTCACAATCAAGATCGTGAACATAACCATAACCCCGCAAAGTTTTATCATGCCTATTAATTTATAATCTCTCTCTCACACCCCTCCCTAACCTCTGCCCCAAGCAACAATTGATCAGCTGTCACTATAATTAGTGTGAATTTTCTGCAGTTTTACTTAAATGGAATCATACAGTATATTCTCTTTTTTTAATTATACTTTAAATTTTAGGGTACATGTGCACAATGTACAGGTTTGTTACATATATATACACGTGCCATGTTGGTGTGCTGCACCCATTAACTCGTCACTTAACATTAGGTATATCTCCTAATGCTATCCCTCCCCCCTCCCTCCACCCCACAACAGGCCCCGGTGTGTGATGTTCCCCTTCCTGTGTCCATGTGCTCTCATTGTTCAATTCCCACCTATGAGCGAGAACAGGCAGTGTTTGTTTTTTTGTCCTTGTGATAGTTTGTTGAGAATGATGGTTTCCAGCTTCATCCATGTCCCTACAAAGGACATGAACTCATCATTTTTATGGCTGCATAGTATTCCATGGTGTATATGTGCCACATTTTCTTAATCCAGTCTATCATTGTTGGACATTTGGGTTGGTTCCAAGTCTTTGCTATTGTGAATAGTGCCACAAGAAACATACGTGTGCATGTGTCTTTATAGCAGCATGATTTATAATTCTTTGAGTATATATCCAGTAATGGGATGGCTGGGTCAAATGGTATTTCTAGTTCTAGATCCCTGAGGAATCGCCACACTGACTTCCGCAATGGTTGAACTAGTTTACAGTTCCACCAACAGTGTAAAAGTGTTCCTATTTCTCCACATCCTCTCCAGCACCTGTTGTTTCCTGACTTTTTAATGATCACCATTCTAACTGGTGTGAGATGGTATCTTATTGTGGTTTTGATTTGCATTTCTCTGATGGCCAGTGATGATGAGCATTTTTTCATGTGTCTTTTGGCTGCATAAATGTCTTCTTTTGAGAAGGGTCTGTTCATATCCTTCGCCCACTTGTTGATGGGGTTGTTTGTTTTTTTCTTGTAAATTTGTTTGAGTTCATTGTAGATTCTGGATATTAGCCTTTTGTCAGATGAGTAGATTGCAAAAATTTTCTCCCAATCTGTAGGTTGCCTGTTCACTCTGATGGTAGTTTCTTTTGCTGTGCAGAAGCTCTTTAGTTTAATTAGATCCCATTTGTCAATTTTGGCTTTTGTTGCCATTGATTTTGGTATTTTAGACATGAAGTCCTTGCCCATGCCTATGTCCTGAATGGTATTGCCTAGGTTTTCTTCTAGGGTTTTTACGGTTTTAGGTCTAACATTTAAATCTTTAATCCATCTTGAATTAATTTCAGTATAAGGTGTAAGGAAGGTATCCAGTTTCATCTTTCTACATATGGCTAGCCAGTTTTCCCAGCACCATTTATTAAATAGGGAATCCTTTCCCCATTTCTTGTTTTTGTCAGGTTTGTCAAAGATCAAATAGTTGTAGATATATGGCACTATTTCTGAGGTCTCTGTTCTGTTCCATTGGTCTATATCTCTGTTTTGGTACCAGTACCGTGCTGTTTTGGTGATTGTAGCCTTGTAGTATAGTTTGAAGTCAGGTAGCATGATGCCTCCAGCTTTGTTCTTTTGGCTTAGGATTGACTTGGCAATGTGGGCTCTTTTTTGGTTCCATATGAACTTTAAAGTAGTTTTTTCCAATTCTGTGAAGAAAGTCATTGGTAGCTTGATGGGGATGGCATTGAATCTATAAATTACCTTGGGCAGTATGGCCATTTTCATGATATTGATTCTTCCTACCTATGAGCATGGAATGTTCTTCCATTTGTTTGTATCCTCTTTTATTTCATTGAGCAGTGGTTTGTAGTTCTCCTTGAAGAGGTCCTTCACATCCCTTGTAAGTTGAATTCGTAGGTATTTTATTCTCTTTGAAGCAATTGTGAATGGGAGTTCACTCATGATTTGGCTGTTTGTCTGTTATTGTTGTATAAGAATGCTTGTGATTTTTGCACATTGATTTTGTATCCTGAGACTTTGCTGAAGTTGCTTATCAGCTTAAGGAGATTTTCGGCTGAGACGATGGAGTTTTCTAGATATACAATCATGTCGTCTCAGCCCAAAATCTCCTTAAAAGATTGCCCTGCAAACAGGGACAATTTGACTTCCTCTTTTCCTAATTGAATACCCTTTATTTCTTTCTCCTGCCTGATTGCCCTGGCCAGAACTTCCAACACTATGTTGAATAGGAGTCGTGAGAGAGGGCATCCCTGTCTTGTGCCAGTTTTCAAAGGGAATGCTTCCAGTTTTTGCCCATTGAGTATGATATTGGCTGTGGTTTTGTCATAGCTCTTATTATTTTGAGATACAGCCCATCAATACCTAATTTACTGAGAGTTTTTAGCATGAAGAGCTGTTGAATATTGTCAAAGGCCTTTTCTGCACCTATTGAGATAATCATGTGGTTTTTGTGGTTGACTCTGTTTATATGCTGGATTACATTTATTGATTTGCATGTGTTGAACCAGCCTTGCATCCCAGGGATGAAGCCCACTTGATCATGGTGGATAAGCTTTTTGATGTGCTGCTGGATTCAGTTCACAAGTATTTTATTGAGGATATTTGCATCGATGTTCATCAGGGTTATTGGTCTAAAATTCTCTTTTTTTGTTGTGTCTCTGCCAGGTTTTGGTATCAGGATGATGCTGGCCTCATAAAATGAGTTAGGGAGGATTCCCTCTTTTTCTATTGATTGGAATAGTTTCAGAAGGAATGGTACCAGCTCCTCCTTGTACCTCTGGTAGAATTCGGCTGTGAATCCATCTGGTCCTGGACTTATACAGTATATTCTCTTATTTTCTGGCTTTATTCATTCAGCATTATTATTATGAGATCCATGTTATGTGTATCAATAGCCCATCCCTTTTTATTGCTAAGCATTATTCCATCATACGGGTATATCACAATTTGTATATCCATTCACCTGTTGATGGCCATTTGGATTGTTTCCAATTTTTGGCTATTTGTATTGGCTTGGTTCTCCAGAGTGACAGAATCAAGAGTATATATATATATATATATATGGATATATGAGAGGAGACTTATTAGGGGGGTTAGCTCACACTATTATGGAGGATGAGAAGTCCTGCAACATGCCATCTGCAAACAAGAGACCCTGGGGTGCTGGTAGCATGGCTCAGTCCAAGTAGAAAGGCCTTGAAACCAGGGAAGCCTATGGTGTTAACTCTCAATTCAATGCCAAAAGCCTGAGAACTTAGAGGGGCTGCTGGGGTAAGTCCTGGAGTCCAAAGGTTGGGAGTCTATAGTTTGTTTTCCAAGGACAGGAGAGGAAGGGTGTCTCCCAGATTCAGCAGATAGATTGACATATTTGCTTTTTCTTTGTTTTTGTTCTCCCCAGACCCTGGTGGATTGGATAGTGCCCACCCATATTGAGGGTGGATTTTCCCCATCTAGTCCACTCAGACTCACATGCTAACCTCTGGAAACACTCTCACATACAGACCCCAAAATAATGCTTTACCAGGTTTCTATGTATTTCTTAATCCAGTCAAGGCCACACCTAAATTTGTTATAGACATTTGTGTAAAAATCATTGTATGGACATATACTTTCTTTTTTGGGAGGGGAGGGGTAAGGAATAATGGAATGGAATATGGTGGATGGTTGTTTAAATTTTTAAGAAACTGGCAAACTTTTTCAAAGTGGTTTCAGCATCTTATATTCCCACCAGTGATCTATAGAGATCAAGTTGCTCCTCATCTTCACCAGCACTTGATATGGTCAGTCTTTTTTATTTTAGACATTCTTATAGATATGTAGTGATAGCTCATTCTGATTTTAATTTGTAGTCCCCTAATGGCTAAAGATTTTGAGCTTTTTTTTTTTTTTTGAGACAGAGTCTCACTCTGTCACCCAGGCTGGAGTGCAATGGCACAATCTTGGCTCACTGCAACCTCCACCTCCTGGGTCCAAGCGATTCTCCTGCCTCAGCCTCCCAAGTAGCTGGGATTACAGGCACACACAACCACTCCCAGCTAATTTTTGTATTTTTAGTAGAGATGGGTTTCATCATGTTGGTCAGGCTGATCTCGAACTCCTGACCTCGTGATCCGCCTGCTTTGGCCTCCCAAAGTGCTGGGATTACAGGCAGTGCTGGGATTACAGGCATGAGCCACCATGCCCGGACTTGAGCATCTTTTTATATGCCTATTTGCCATTCATATATTTTCTTCAGTGAAGTGGTTGTTTAATACTTTTACCCCTTTTTTCGAAAGGGTTATTTGTTTTCTTATTGTTGAGTTTTGAGAGAGTTCTTCATTATATATACTGGATATAACCCTTTTATCAGATGTATACTTTGTAAATACTTTCTCCCAGTCTGGGGTTTGTCTTTTTATTCTTTAACAGCATAATTCAGAGAGAAGTTTTTCATTCGATGAAGCATAATTTGTCTTTTTATTTCTTTTACAGCTTGCTTTTGGGTGTTGAAATTGCCTTAAGAAAATTTTGCCTAATTCAAAGTCATAAAAATTTTCTCTCATACTTTATCCTAGAAGTGTTAGAGTTTTGTGTTTTACTTTTAATTCTGAGGTCCATTTTGAGTTAATTTTTTAAATATAGTATGAAATGTGGATGGAAGTTTACTATTTTGCATATGGGTATTTGACTGTTCTAGCACCCTTTATTGAAAAACCTCCATTTTCTTCACTGAATTGCCTTTGCACTCGTGTGAAAAAAAATCAATTATCTATGTATGTATCTATTTCTGGGCTTTGTATTATGATGGCCAATTTATCATTATGCCAATACTGAGTCTTCTGGCCCATAAGCACAATTTATCTCTTTATTTATTTAGATTTTCTTTAATTTCTCTCAACAATGTTTAATAGTTTCAGCACACAGTTCTTTTGTATCTTTTGCCAAATTTTAAGTATTCCGTATTTTTATGTTATTGTAAATGGTATTGCCTTTTAAGTTTAATTTCTGATTGTTGTTAGCAGAAATGCAACTAATTTTTGTATATTAATCTTATAACTAGAAATCTCAATGAACTCACTTATTCTGGCTCATCGTAGATTCCGTCAGATTTTCTACATGGATGATGACATTGTCTATGAATAAAAACAGTTCTATTTCTTCCTTCCTAATATGGTGTCTGTTATTTTTCTTGCCTGATTGAACTGAATAGAATATCCAGTATAACGTTGAATAGAATTGGTGGTAGAGGACATGGCTTAGCTTGTTCCTGATCTTAAGAAGGCTTTTGGGTTGAGTGCAGTGGCTCACGCCTGTAATCTCAGCACTTTGGGAGGCCGAGGCGGGCGGATCATGAGGTCAGGAGTTCAAGACCAGCCTGGCCAATATGGTGAAACCCTGTCTCTACTAAAAATACAAAAATCAGCCGGGTGTGGTAGCGCACGCCTATAGTCCCAGCTACTCGGGAGGCTGAGGCAGAAGAATCTCCTGAACGTGGGAGGTGGAGGTTGCAGTGAGCCAAGATCATGCCACTGCACTCCAGCCTGGGTGACAGAGCGAGACTCCGAAGAAAAAAAAAAAAAGAAGGTTTTCAGTCTTACCACTAAGTCTGATGTTAGTTGCAGGTTTTCCAAAGATGCCTTTTATCAGGTTAAGGACATCTCTTTCTATTTTTAGTTTTCTAAGCATTCTTCTCAGAAATGTATGTTGGATTTTGCCAAATCTTTTCCTGCATTTATTGAGATGATTACATGGTTTTTCTATTTAGTCTGTTTGATTTATTTATTTATTTTGAGGGAGAGAGAGACAGAGTCTTGCTCTGTCACCCAGGCTAGTGTCCAATGGCATGATCACAGCTCCCTGTAACCTCAAACTCTTGGGCTTAAGTGATCCTCCTGTGTAAGTCTCCCAAGTAGCTAGGATGACAGGTGCATGCCACCACACCCTGCTATGTTCGATCTTCTAATGTCAAAACATCCTTGCATTCCTAGGGTAAACCCTACATGGTCATGATGCATTACTCATTTTATATATTGTTGGATTTTATTTGCTAAAATTGGCTTAAAATACAGTGTTATTTTTTTTTTTAAGTGAAAGCAACTTTACTAGAGAAATAAAGAAATGAAAGAATGGCTACTCTATAGGCAAAGCAGCCAACATGTAGTGTTACTTTAAATAATGGAATGTCATTTTGTTAAAAATACCAAATACAAAATACAATAACTGGAGTCTAATACAAAATTTAGACTCCAGTTAACTTTTGAATAGTTCAGAACATAAAATCTTAGGATCATAGAATTTTTTGAAAAAAAATCTTTTAAAATAAAAACTGATGTTGACTTTTGGTAGCATTATATCTATACTATGCTAAGTAATTGTACATCTTATTTGTATTGCTTTAAATTATAGAATGTATTTAGTATTGCCTCCCCAATTATACAGTTTTTAAAAGCAATAATCACATTTACCTATCTTCTGTGTTCTTCTGAGCACCTAGAACAGTCTGTGACTATCTGGGCACTCAATAAAATACTCACTAATTTAAATGGATTGATTGAATACCTTCTACTTCTTAGTGAACTTCAACATTGATAAGTTCAGAATTTTAGACTTTTGAGAGTGATGGGAAAAGAATAAAAAGCTAAACTTTTCTACTTCCCAGTCTTTTGTTTCCAAGCACGAAAATAGCCAGAAGAGAAAGAGTGGGAGGGGTTCAAAGTCAGAGGTGGGTCTAAGTGAAGTGGGTTCTAGAAAGGCTGCCACTCTCTTCCCTCATATCGTAGGTTCAAGTCACCTGTGTAGGTAGTTCAATTGCATGTAGAGAACCCAGGTTTCACGTATGAACATTAGGGTGGCATTTGCAGGATAATTTCACTGTTGTTATTGAATTCACATACAGGCTTGAGAAGTAACAGTCAAGAATTGGAATTGATACCACAGATCAGTTGCTATGATCCCTAAGATATCAGTTAAAAATAGTTAGCTCTCCCCCGATTCAGAGTCTCACAAAGAATAAAACAATACTGATTATCTTTCCAAATGATGGCAAAACCTCTGGTGTTACTCAATAAATGCTGTTATCTGGTGGCAGTGAGGAATTGCAAGTGATGGTGATTCATATACATCTGTTAATAGTCATCATAATTTTCTTATATTGATAAACAATTTTTTAAATGAGAAAATCAGAAAATATACTCTCAACTCTGCTACCTTAGAAATGATTTGATTATTCTTTTACCATTCAAAGGATCTGTCAGTTGCTTTTTTGGTGGGGTGGGGAATGGAGTCTTGCTCTGTCACCCAATACAGCACAATGGCACGATCTTGGCTCATTGCAAACTCCGGCTCCTGGATTCAAGTGATTGCCTCAGCCTCCCGAGTAGCTGGGATTACGGGCATGCATCACCAAGCCCGGCTAATTTTTGTATTTTTAATAGAGAGGGGGTTACACCATGTTGGCCAGGCTGGTCTTGAACTCCTGACCTCAAGTGATCTGCCTGCCTCGGCCTCCCAAAGTACTGGGATTACAGGCATGAGCCACCGTGCCCGGCCTGTCAGTTCTTATAATGACTAAAAATTCACTGGAGCATAGAGAAGTTCTAATTAAGAAAATGTTAGTTAATATTTGATGCTTTATTGAAAAATTGCCTTATCCACTTTGCAATAAAGATATTTCCTTGCATTTGTATATTATTTCCTTAAAATATGTAATTATGAAATATCATACATAATAAATATATAACATATATACATGATTAAAATAGTAATAAAACACCTGTGTATCACTATCAGTAATTTGAAATCCCCTATGTAGTCTTCCCAAATTATATTTCCCTCTTTCTCCCAATCCTGCATTTTGTGTACAGAATTTTCTCAAAATTTATTGTATACTTATGTCCCTAAACATTATGTTATTTGGTTTGCATATTTTTTAACTTTTTATGAATTAAATAATAATTATGTATTTGGTTTTTATCTCCACATGTTTGTGACATTCACCTTTGCTGATACATTCAGCTGTAGCTCATTCATTTTTCACTGCTGTATGGTACTGAAGATCCCTGACTTCAGATAGTTCAATGTAATGATTTTTTTGACTTTACAATGGTGCTATCTTTTACTTTAAGTACAGTATTTAATAAATTGCATGAGATATTCAACCTTTTATTATAAAATAGGTTTTACATTAGATGATTTTGCCCAATTATAGGCTAATGTAAGTGTTCTGAGCATGTTTAAGGTCGGATAGGCTAAGTTAAGCTATGAAATTCAGTAGGTATATTCAATGCATTTTCATCTTAGGATATTTGAAACTTATAAGGGCGTTCTCAGGATGTAATCATATCACAAGTCAAGGAGTACCTGTATTCCATTATTGAATATACCATGCTAGGCATTCTAGAAATAAACACGTTTGAAAATTTTTTGATTAATGTTTCTAGATTGTGCCCATGTCAGAATGCCTCAAAAGAGGCTGGGTGCAGTGGCTCATGCCTGTAATCGCAGCACTTTGGGAGGCCAAGGTGGGTGGATCACCTGAGGTCAGGAGTTCGAAACCAGGCTGGCAAACATGATGAAACCCCATCTAAGAATATAAAAATTAGTTGGGCTTGGTGGCAGGCACCTGTAGTCTCAGCTACACAGGAGGCTGAGGCAGAATCACTTGAGCCTGGGAAGCAGAGGTTGCAGTGAGCCAAGACTGCACCATTGCACTCCAGCTTAGGTGGCAAGAGTGAAACTCTGTCTCAAGAAAAACCAACCAAACAAAAAAAGAATGCCTCAAAAGAAACCCAATCATTTCCTTCTTGAGAAGCAGTGTAGGGAATGTGGTTAAGAGCCACTTCCAGGGCTTGATCCTTGGCTTCACTGGTGTAACTTTGAACAGGCTACTTAACCTCTCAGTGCCTCAGTTTCCTCATCTGTATCATGGGGATAACAATAGTATCTGTCTCATAGCATTGTTATATTGTTATGATGAAATGAGATAATATACATGAAGTGCTTAGAAGAGTTCCTGGCTCACTTTTTTTTTTTTTTTTTTCAGATGGTGTCTCACTCTGTCGCCCAGGCTGGAGTGCAGTGGTACAATCTTGGCTCACTGCAAGCTCTGCCTCCCGGGTTCACGCCATTCTCCTGCCTCAGCCTCCCGAGTAGGTGGGACTACAGGCGCCCGCCACCACGCCCAGCTAATTTTTTTGTATATTTAGTAGAGACTGGGTTTCACTGTGTTAGCCAGGATGGTCTCGATCTCCTAATCTCGTGATCCGCCCACCTTGGCCTCCCAAAGTGCTGGAATTACAGGCATGAGCCACCACACCCGACCAGTTCCTGGCTCACATTTAAATGCTCAATAAATATTTGCCATAAGAGATTTGGAACAATCTCTGCAGATTTAAATGTCTATGGTAAGGTATTTTAAGAATTTTCATTTAACAAGGAGAAAAGCATGGTTCCTAATACTTCTGGAGAAAAGATGACAAATTTTGTTTCTTTCTTGTACTGTCTGTGACATTAAAGATAACTTTAAATGGAACACAAAAGAAAAAGGAAAAAGGATAAGCTTTAAAAGCTCATATCACTAGGGTCCAGCCCTTAAACAGAAGAGATGAATATCTCTTATCTATATTGTAATCATAGACTTCACATGGCAAGTCCATTAGGATATAAATTTATGATGTTCTTTAAAGAAAATTATTCATCATGAAGACCTCTAAGTGAATTGAAAGCTCAATGAGTAATCGGAGATTAAATCATCATCTTTTTATGGAATGAATCCAATTTACAACTAAAAAACTACAGTCATCTCCACCTTTACCCTGGAAAAGAACAAATAGGGGGAGGGGGAGGAGGCAAACTTTCCTCTCTGAAGTACTTTAAGGATCTGGAGTCTAAATGAAAATCAACAACATATGTTCTGAATATAGGAAACATTCATGTAAGACAGGTACAGGTAAAATGAATATTCTTTAGCTGTCCCACAAACTGGGAAATAAAATTTAGGATTTTAAAAGGTGACTCCTCTGTTCATTATTTGGTTACAATCTCATTTCAAATGCAGAGATAAGCCTCAAAAGTAAAACTTCACCTTTCCTTTTCAAAATCTGTTATTCCTTGCTATTAAGGTAAGATAATAAAATTGTAGGACTGGAAACAATCTCATGCTGGACATGAATTAATATATTCTACTAGTGACTAAGAGACTGTGAATAACATGATCAGAAAGTGTGCCCGCCTCAACCCTGTTGCAGCTCCAGGCTTAGAACAATGCTTGGTGCATTCACACATAGATAGTATTCAGAGACTAACTGTGGAATAAATAAAGGAATAAACAAACTTCTATATTACCTTGAAATAACAATGGTCTCTATTTTAATCAGTCTATCAAAGTACATTTCAATGCTTGTAGGTTAATAATTCTCATTGCTGGTTGTCAGTTTTTGTACCTCACTTATTTCCCAATGCTATATTCGAGATCAGTGGTTCTCAACATTTTCAAAAACAAACACCCCCTTTTAGTAGCAAACATTTCACACAAAAAAGATAACATCGTTATCCTTTTTTGTATTTAGTGTTTGATACAATTATAACAATTTGAGGATCCCTCTAAGTAATTCCATGGGAGCCTACAAATTGGAAATCAAAGTTCTAGATTCTCTTCTTGTGCTCTTGTTTCAGATGGAAAGAGAAAACGATCGCTCTGTATGCTCTGTGTGGAAACCTTTAATGTGATCGCCAATCACTGCATCAGTCACTGTTAAGTATTTTTAAACCTTAGCAAAAAATAAATCCCTTTAATCTTGCTCCCAGCCTTTGTTTTTACAGTACTTTTATTTTTCATAGTCTTTTCTGAACCTTCTCCAACATTTCCACATTTTCAAGTTGCAGAAGCCACAAGTGGTCACAGAACTCTGGTAGCACTCATTTATTAAGTGTAACAGGGTGACAGCCTTCTTAAAGATACGCACTTTTAAATCTAGAAAACAGCAACTAAAAATCCAAATTAAAAAATAATTATTACTAAACAATGTTGGCCTATAATGTTTAACGAAAAAGATATCACAATATAATCCATAAAGTTACTGTATTTCTTGGACCTTATCTCTCTCATTCTAGTGTTATTCTGCTGTATAATGGGATACACAGTTCATGTCTCTAACCCATAAAAATGCAGGAATGAGTCCCATATGTACCTTTGCATATTCTTTATGATGTAGATTTTGATTAGCCTCTGGGCCACACAAGTTGAGTTAATGTGTCTTTCCAAACAATTCTGTTGTATTTCATTGCTCAGACTCCTGTTGGCAGGCTGATGAAATGAACAGTTTTGTTCTCCCTCTTCCCTCAATCCAACTACGGTATCATAGAGTATGTTCCTAGAAGCTAAACTATCACTTCTTTGATCAGTCTTTTAAAGCATTAATAAAACACGAATCACATCATTTTTATCAGCATAGGTGGGAATTATGAGATAACTAGAGATTTTCCAAAATCCTGACCAGGCTGCAAGTTGATGTGGTAATTTACCTAAGCCCTTAGGGCCACTGCACTGTGAAAGAAGTCGGGAGTGTATGTTCTTGGGTTTTTATTCAACTTAAAGCTTGAGGGTCTCAGAGGACAGACATGTTAATGATGAGCTAGCAGCTTTCTCAATCTGATTTCCTTTATACCGACATTTTCTCTTACTCAATCTGAGTTTAATATAAAAGAAGAGCAACAAACGTGAACCACAAGATGCTTTCATTCCTGGATTTCCCTTTTAGCATCTGTGTAGTTTGGGACAAGTCACTACCTCCCTGGGTTTGTTTTCTCTCTCATATAGGAATAATGATGTCTCGTAAGTGTTAGCTTGAGGATCAAATGGGACAATGTTCAAGCATGGGCTGGGTAACAATAAAACAGAATTAAAACATAAGGTAGTATTGCAATTATAATCAGCAGCATCTCATAATCTGATGATTTCTGTGTGACTTTATCTTCCAATGAGCCCATAAAGGGGTTGGCAAACTAAGTCAGTGGGCCACATCGAACCCATGGCCTGTTTTTGAACTATCTTTGAGCTAAGAATGGTTTTTACATTTATAAAGTGTTGTAAAAACAAAAGCAAAAAAACAAGCAAAAGAATAAGAAGAAGAAGAAATCAGAGAAACCGTATGTCAGCTGCAAAACCTAAATTAATTTACTATTGGCCCTCAGGCCCTTTAAAGAGAAAGTTTGCAGACTCCTAAAACAACAGAAATAAGTCACATGAGTTTGGACCAACAATATCCCTACAGACTCTGAGCATAACACCTTTCTGCTGCTGCCTCCATTTCTTCTCCTAGTTCGAAATCTCTCCCAATCCTACACAGGTAGGCTATGGATGCAAAGAGTCCATCATTTTGCTACTGAAGGAGGAGCGGGGGGGCGGTGCATAAAGATTCTTTGATCACATATGAAAGATTAAATCAATTTCCAAGTCACATGATTTGGGAGGAAAGATTAAATCAATTTCCAAGTCACATGGTTTGGGAGGCCAGCCAAATCCATGTGCTCAAATTGAGCTGTGGGCACAAATTATTTTAGAAAAAAAACAAAGGATTCATATTTTATATTTTTGTTTCTCTCCTAATAATCCACTGCAAATAGAATTATCTCATCTCTCTTTTTCTCCTATCACCACAATTTCCAAAAACCCTTAATCCAAACTAATACTGGTGGCAAAGAGCCTCTGACGTAATTAAATTGAACCATGTGAATTCTGGATCAAGATTAAGAAAAAATTAAAGCATTTATTGTGTTGAAATTTCTTATGCCAATTTTCTGCTAAAAAAGAGGATTCAAAAGGTCAAGGATTTTGCAGCACAGACTTAGTGGTATATTAGTTACAGTAATCCAGCCTGAAAATCCCAGCAGAAATAAATACAATGGAATGCCATGAATTACAAGAAACCACAACTTTAATCAGCTCATGGGAAAAGAAAAACATGCCTTTGCCTATTGACAGTTGATAAACTGAATCCTGAAGCTATGGGGCTGAGGAGCACCAGGGGCTCACCATCACTGCTATTATATTGAAGAAAATGTACTGGGCTTCCATTCCCCACCCCTGCTCACTGTGATATGAAGGCACACAGAACAGAATACTATCTGGATTCCTTTGGCAGATGCTCATTATATGCATTTAGTGGGTGTTCTCTGAGTCAGACAACACTCCAAAGCATAGGAATCAATATGGTTAGATGGTAAGTAACAGAATCATAGAAACTTTATGAATTATTTTACTTTAATTTCAAATGCAACTTTATAAACCATGGCACAAGCTTGAAACAGTCTTAGCTTGTAAATCTTATTTATACTAATATATGGGAGAAACCTCAAAATTGAAAAGAATACTATGCCAGAGACATATAAATATTTGTTGAATATGTTTTACCATAACAGTTGTATAGAATTCATGAGCTTTTATTGAAACACAGTATCCAGATTTCATGTGAGTTTTGACCCATAAGAATAATGCCTGGACTTACAAATCCTTTTGCTTCTCAAGATTAAATAGTCAACAATGCTAAAGTAATTTTGGAGGGGGGGTTACTTAATAAATTCATTATAAAATTTATATAGAGGACAAATACATGGAAATAGTCAAGGAAATTTTTGAAAAAAATTAATGAGATAAAACTTCCCTTCCACATAATAAAATTTTCTCTAAAGCTGTGATAATTAATATGGTAAGGCACCAATATAGAAATAGGCAGATAGCTCAACGACACAGAGCAGTCTAGAAACATACTACAGAATATGTGGGAATTTATGAAAAAAGTGGTATTTCAGATCATAAATTGTTTGGAGACAAATGGTAGAAAACTGTGAAAAAAAATTTTGGCCCTTACTCATGCAATACCTAAAAATAAATTTCAGAAAATCATTTGTTGTAAATATTTTAAATGTAAAAAATGAGAGCATGTAAGATACTGGGTTGTTTGTTTTGTTGTTGTTGTTGTTGTTGTTGTTGTTTTTGAGACAGCTTCTCTGTTGCCCAGGCTGTACCCCGGCTGGAGTGCAGAGGGGCAATCATGCAGCCTCGAACTTCCAGGCTCAAGTGATCTTTCCACCTCAGCCTCCTGAATAGGTGGGACTACAGGTGTGCACCACAACTCCCTTCGTATTTTTTGTAGAAACAGGGTTTCATCATGTCGCCCAGGTTGGTCTCAAACTCCTGGGCTCAATGGATCTGCCCACCTCGGCCTCCCAAAGTGCTGGGATTACAGGCGTGAGCTGCCACACCAAGCCAGATACATTTTTTTGTAATTCTTCAGCGGTGTTACCAATGTCAAAAGATGTAAAGGGGATGATGAAAAGATTTGATAACATAAAATTTCTAAGCTGATTTATTATAAAGGTGCCATAAACAAAGCTGAAGGACAAACAACAAACAAGAAAAAAGCTGCAATGCATTTGACAAGGAAATATTTTCCTAGATATATAAAGGCCTATTACAGATCAACTATAAAAAAAAAAGATAAACACTATGACAGAAAAAAATAGACAAAAGCATGAACAGGTAAGTCACAAATGAAGTACAAATGTCTAACAAATATATGAAAAGAATTCTCAGATTCATTGATAATTAGAGATAAATTGGTAACGAGATACAAAATTTTGCCTTTCTTGAAGGCAACCTGGCAATGTGTATTAAAGTTTAACTCATGAATTGTATTTCTAAAAACTGAACCTAAGGAAATTATTAGACAAATGCACAATAAAATATATCCATGGAAATATTTACATGGTAATAACAAAAACTGAGACAAAATTAATTATCCATAAATAGAGAGTTGGTTACCTAAACTATTAAATAATGATTTAATAATGATTTAAGATTAAATAATAATGATTTAAGAGACTCATAAAGAACATATACATAAAGTATATATAAATAGGAAATATCAAGAATTATATATTCACACTGGCTATTTATGTGATGCAATTTTTTTTAACTTTCTCCTTTGCAATCACCAGATTACTTGATTAAAACAGTGATGTACAAAAGTCATTTAACACCAAAATGAAATCTGTATATACTTTTGTGAAAATATACTAGTGATTTTTTTGAAGTGAAAAAAGCAAGTTTAAGAACAGTACATGTATTGTAGTCTCATTCAAGTAAAAGTATGGAAAAATATATAACAAAGGAAAGGAGAGAAAAGTCCAGAGGATATGTATACCAAGAGGTTTCCTCTGACTACCTTTGGGAATGGGGGGTTATAGATACTTTCTACATAGAAACTTTCTCCTATTTGCCTATGAGTATTTTATTGCTTTTTTCCTTCTTTTTTTTTTTTAGTTTGAGTTCTATATTGTTCTTGTAATAATAAAAAAATTAAGCATGATTTTTAAATGTGAAAAATATCAAATATTTTAACATGAAGTTACTAGGTGCTGGCATACGGTAGGTCTTCATTAACTGCTTTCACTTGTTTATGTGTTTATAAGAAAGGCCCTTGAGGCAAACAGTAAATCATCAAAAGAGCTCAGCCCTCACTTCTGTCTCACTCCTGTTTGCCACCCAGTTGTGAAACAGGGATAGTAATACTAGCCAACCTATTGGGTTGTTGCAAAGAATGAGAAAATGGTTCTGTACATATAGAGTTTGCCTAGTTAACATGAATAACAATTGTAAAATTAACAAACGACAAGCTTTCTGATTATATACGGCTGCTGTCCAGGCCCTTCCTGTAACTCAGGCCAAATTTCCATTAGACTAAATGGGAAACATCTTCAGAAAAGACTGAAATTTTGGCATAAGAATCATTTTTTAACATGTTCCTTCCTGAGTAAATTACTTTGCAAAAGAATTAATAATTGGTTCCATGTCTAGAATCCTGAAAGGGCTGTATATAGCTTGCAGTGAAATCTATGATGCTAATGCTTATTTAGGCACTTAATAAAACATATATGCTTATTATCCAGTAGCTTATTAGCGCTCCTTCAGAGCCACCACTGCTGCTTTTGAATCTGCAGAAGACTGCCCCATAAAAATGTGTTGTTTCCTTATAAAACAGACTGAGTTTCGAATTGTTATGGAGCATCATTTAAATTTCAACCGAGGCTATTTTAAAAATGGATATCTGGCTCAAAAGATAGTAGAAGTTTCTCTGTTCTATTGTGTAAAGATAGATATTGGCACCTCCCTGACACTGCAAATGTGAGCCAAACTTCACAGTAAATGGCGTTACAGGGACGGTAGTCTAGAAAATGAGTCCACATCATGGCTACAATAATTATAACTGACATGACCTCATTAGAAAATATGAATTATATTCTGTTCCAATATCACATTCTCATCATGCTTCCAACAATTATACACCTCTTTAAGGTATTTTTTTAAAGCCCTATCCTCTCTTAAACCAAAGGCACGTCATAGGCACAGGTAGCTCATTTTCTGCCTGTGCAACATTTCTTCACAATGCTTGGGAGTGGGGGTATTGAGAATGTGATGTGTTTTCTGTTTCAGTCATAAAAATAAGTACATGCAACAGCAACACAACCCCTTAGGTGTTTATTAGTGCTACTCAAGGAAAAAATAATGGGGAAAAGAGAAACAGACTCCATCTTCATCTTCTTAGGGGACTGAGGTGGGTGTGTGTGGGTAGATTCAAATGGAAAATGAACATGCACACTGGGGAGATTCCAGAACTACCTATTGGGACATAGAATAAAAATAAATAAACTAAGGCTGCAAGAATAATCTTTGACAAGGTAAGCAAACAAAGAAGGAAGAAAGGAGTGGTGGATGGGGAGAAGGAGAGAAATATCTTTTTTCCCTTTCCTGGTGAAAAGATGTAACATAGCAAGGGATTTTCTTTAAATGGGCTGTCCTTTAACTTCTCTAAGCCAGAGACACTGCCATCAGCCAACTACATTTACTGACCATCTATTTTACATCCTCTTTTAAGCTGTGTAAAGTCATTCGCCTCAGGTAAGACCAAATTCTTAAACTTTGCCAGGCTCTAGGATTTAGATGTTGAAAAATATTAACATCTAGTCATCAAGGATAAGAAGATGATAAATAAATTTCAATGCTAAACTCAGAGTAGAAAGCATGTTTCAAAACTGTTTATCCAGTGCTTTTGCAGGTAGTTGAGGAATCATGCGTATGTGTTACATACTAGAGTTTCTTCAGTTGTCCTTCTTCATCTTGTATGTTAAAGGTTGAGGGACTGTAATCTCATGTTTTACAAATATGCCTTTTAAAATGTATTGTGTTGCCTAGCCAATTCCTTCATTCATGTACTGAGCCCTTGTTATGTAACAGCCGTGGTGTTAAGGGCTAGTAAGACACAAAACTGAGTAAGGCAGAGGCCTTATTTTTAAGGCTCACACTTTAATGGGGAAAAAAACTCCTTAATAGATCATTTCAACTTTGTAATAATTGCTATCACAGTAAAGAATGTCTTTTTTCACCATCGATACTTCAAAGTCCAGTTTAAAAGCAGCTATCTCTTAGAAGTTTTCAAAAGCTTCCCTGACCCAGTAGAATTACCCATCCCCACACCTCGTTTCTTTCCATAATACTTTGTTTCTAGGAGAACATAGATTTAGTATTATACATTATGGCTAACTGCATACATACATAAATTCTGGGCAAATTGTGAGCAATCTGCAATAGACAGGGGCCAGGCTGCACTCATTCTGTGTCCTAGGTACCTAGCAGAGTAGGTAGCATGTCACAGACACTCAAAAGATGTGACTGAAATTGAACTGAATTCCAGTGAGTCATTTAATTCCCAGTGTGCTGGGTCTTTCATTTGATTATGTCTTGCCTCCAAAAACAATGGGCCAATGAGCCTGGAAGACAAAAAAAAAAATTAGTCCTTGAGGGAAAGAAAACAAAGCAAAACTGTAGTCCACAGTTTTTCATCAAATTGAAATTGAGGTAGTAGCTCCATTATTGTTTTCCTTTTGGTTAATAATGAACAGGCCTTCATAGCAGTGAGGATCTAAGTGGTCACTGAGAAGTAAAGGAGCTAGTATTTGGCTAATATGGCTAATTATGGCTATTTATTTGTTTATTTATTGAAACAGAGTCTCGCTCTGTTGCCCAGGCTGGAATGCAGTGGCACTATCTCCACCCACTGCAACTTCTCCCTGCCGGGTTCAAGCAATTCTCCTGCCTCAGCCTCCTGAGTAGCTGGGATTACAGGTGCAGACCACCATACCCTGCTAATTTTTGTAATTTTAGTAGAGATGGGGTTTCACCATGTTGGCCAGGCTGGCCTCAAACTCCTGACCTCAAGTGATCTGCCTGCCTTGGTCTCCCAAAGTGCCGAGATTACATGTGTGAGCCACTGCGCCCCCACCTTAATTATGGCTTTAATGAAAAGTAAAATCTTTCCTTATGGCACTTTAGCTTACTACCTTTGGGTTCATTTTCAATCTTCTTAAAAATCATTTCTAGGAAAGAGTTACTATTTCCAAGTTAAAAACCTTTTTTGAGGTGCAAGTATTAAATAATTGTTTTAAAAAACAAATCATGTTGAAAATGTACATTTATTAATGCTTATTTTAATATACCTTAAAATAACGTCTTACAATGAACAATAGATAGAAAAAAACTATTATAATAAAAAGCAGCCAGTGGACAAAAAGTCTTTTTTTCCATTGTCATTCTATTCTGACATCTTTATAACTTCTGGCTTCTCCGAGTTACCAAACCTTTACATTTCATGGACATGTAAAAGTTGGAGGCTCAACAAAGATTTTGCCAAACTTTTATTTTACCAAATAATGGCTTCAAAAATAAAACTTGATAACTATTTATTATGACATTATTTCATAAAATAAATAACTTTATAACATATAAAATATAGAAGGTCTTATGAAGATAGACATTTAAAGTGAATAAAAACCCATTTCATGTCCTTACTATTCTCATTTTGCTGTGGATCAGTGAAAATTTTGACATGGACTTGCAATGTACAGAGTTCGATTTTTTTTTTTTTGAGACTGAGTTTCGCTCTTGTTGCCCAGGCTGGAGTGCAGTGGCACGATCTCAGCTCACTGCAACCCTCCACCTCCCGGGTTTGAGCGATTTTCCTGCCTCAGCCTCCCAAGTAGCTGCTTACTACTTGGTGCTCCCCGAATAAATTTTTTATTTTTCGTAGAGATGGAGTTTCACCATGTTGGCGAGGCTGGTCTCAAACTCCTGACCTCAGGTGATCCACCTGCCTTGGTCTCCCAAAGCGCTGGGATTACAGGCATGAGCCACCGCGCCTGGCTCAATTTTTGAAGTTCTATATTTTTGTTTCCTCTTTCATTCATTCCTGCATCATTCCATCACCCAACAAAGTCAAGAGAGTTTCTCCTATGTGCCAGATATTGTGGTAAGAACATTCATGTGTTTTCTCACAGCACTATTGAAACAGTCTGCTCCTAACAGGGGCTCAGTGAGCAATAGCTCAACTGCTTTGAATCAAACTGGATAAATATCACCAGTAAAAGCTGAACCTTTAATAAAGTTTTCACAAAGAAGAATTAAGCACATAGCACTATCAGTTTGTTCAGTTTAAAAAAAATGACTGAAGACTTTTTAAAGGTATAAGTTATAGAAATGCAACTCTGCATATATGATAGCAATGTAGCATTCTAGAAGAATTAAATAGAACACATCTTACTAAGGAAATTTAATTTTTAAGATCAGTTAATGTTAGAGGCAATGCATTTACCCTGCACACTGAAAAAAATTTAAGCAGTATGAAACAGCATATGGTGAAAAGTCTTTCTCCTTCTTCTGAACCCCAGTTGCTTAAATCCCCCTCCCCAAAGATAACTACGGCAACTATGGTTACCAGATTTTTATGTCTTTCCATAGATAGTCTATGATTATGCAAACACATATATCCCCATTTTTTCTTTTTTACAAAAATGATAGTATAACATATATACTGTTCTCTCTCCTTTTTAAAGTTAATTTATCTTAAGGCTGTGCCACATGAGCACCCACAGATCTGCTCATTCTTTTGAACATTTGTGTAGTATTTAATAGTGTACCTATACATACTTCATTTAACCTTTGCCTTTTAAGGTTTTATACCATCTTGTGCTATTTCAAATAATAATACCATCAGTATCCTCATATCCAGTTATGTGTACACCTGTAGGATATCTTCCTGGAAGTTGAGTTGCCAGGCCCAAGGGTTTGTACATTTCTAGTGCTCCCTCGCCCTGCCTTTCCACAACAATTTGGAGATTTTAAAAAGTCCATCCTGCTCATCACCATGCCATTTGGCTCTTCTCTAAACAGGCTGAGCCTCATTTCTTTATCCCGTGGCTCTGAACCCCGCTGCACATCACAATCAACTTCGAGTTTTTAAAAATACCAGTGCCTGCCACCTTCTAAGAGATTCTGCTGTTATTGGTGACTCTGATGTATAGCTGATGAAGTCTGGATCCCAGTCTCACTGCTCCTTCTCTGGTAATCCTTTAGTTTGTCCTAGACAGAAAGTAATTCTAAGCAGTAGAGAAAAGACAATAAAATGCTCTTGACATCTGATTGCAAAAGTGTTGAATTGTTTGTAAGAAGGTCAATTATTTATATACTAAAGGAGTCCGCAGGGGCAGAATAGGGTTTCCACTAGCCTTCTCCTTGCTCTCAGCTCCTTCTTTCACTTCTTAACTAGTTCACTTTAAATAGTTCCAGAGATGTCACTGGGTCCTCTGCTCCTTTATTAAATATGGGATGAAAAATCAGTATTAGTAGAAGTCAGAGCAAAATCAAGAATGAGATACAAGAGTCCATTATGATCTTAACTCCTCACTACATACTTCTTACAGATCTTTAGTTTTTCTCCTTTTCGCATATTTTTTTTCCTTTCATTCTCTCTTGTCCTTATCCTCCTTTTTTTCTTTTTCATGTTTCTTTTCTAAAAAGTTTGTCGCTTCTTCAACTTACTTAGGAACTCATTGTTATAAGGATCAGATTATGACTGACAGTACACAGTCCGAATAATTCCTTAATTTTTGTGTCTAATAGGTGAAGTCATTATGTAAGTTTTCCTGTGTTCAGTGTTGCAGTATACAGTCTGAATAATTCCTTAATTTTTGTGTCTAATAGGTGAAGTCACTATGTAAGTTTTCCTGTGTTCAGTGTTGCAAAAACACCCATCATTAGTCTTTGATAACCATTCATGGTTAGAAGCTCATCCATTCCAGAGAAAAGCTGATGAAATATGTAAACTTTTGCTTCAGCTGTTCATTTACAGATGCTGGAAGCTCCACTTGGGGCATTTTTATATGCTGCTTTATAACAACTAAGCTAGCTGTGGTAGAAAATTAGTTCCAGCATGTTTTACGGGCAGCTACAATTTTGGTTCAAAGACTAGAGAGCATAATCTCGGCAATTCCAAAAGGGAAATACTGCAGGCAAATTCCAACACATTTCCCTCTCATGGCTGTTTGAGGAACCACTGACACCTCACACTGCTGTACTTCTTATTTAATAAGTGAATAGTATAATAATTGTGGATAAACTGGGAAGGAGTGAGCGTGGAAGCTGTTCTCTATTGGGGGTGGAATGTTGTGCCCTTAGTATGATAAGCTGATCCCATTCCATTAAATCACAAAGCTGTCTCCCCTCTATGCATCCCATACGAACGGCTGAAGAAAAATCGTGGAATTGCTAACACTTGCTGCAGCTGTCAGGAAATGATACTAATTAGTTTAATTTGCAATAACACAAGCACTTAACTCTCCAAATAATCTAAGTTAGTAAGTCAGTTTTTATATTATGACAATGACATGTTTAAGAGACTCTGGAGCACTGCTTTTTTGACCTTTGACACACATTTCTGATAAAGCAGCACATCAAAGATGTTTTGTTTTCCTCCTCCATTATTCTTTCATCTGTTTCAATGGGAATTATTTGACAAATGAGATGGTTTGGTAGCTTTGCATAACGGAAAAGAAGCTAAGATCGGTGTCTTAAAAAGCACACATTAGCCAAAGAAGTATATTTTTAAAAAGAATGATCACGGTACCAAACGAATGACACCTCTCAGATCACTAAATCCCCTAGAATTCACGCATTCACATTTAATTCCATCCATTGTTCCCCACCCCCCGCCACTTTGCCCCTTTTTGGTGTATGTCAGCTTAGGAAAAGGGAGCTCAAATGGTGAGTTTCACTTTCCCCTCTTACTCCATTTCCTTTCTCTGTTCTCAGGCACAGCCAGCTGCTACTGTTTCTGCTCCTTCTCCCGACAGGCGAATGTTTAATGTCTCTTTCTCCTGTCCCCTTTCTATACATTTGGTATCAACATCTCTTTCACGAAGCCAAAGAGGAAAAAGCTCCCAAAAACATTCGCATACATATTAAATGAGCTTCATCTAGGGTCTCCTGGGGTGCCTCTGACTGGGAGCCTGCGGCTGGGCAGGCTTGATCTGCGCCTTCATTCGTGTTATGTATTTTTTTCATTCCACAGGAGGCCAGGGGTTTGCGGCTGCCACAAAGCACATGAACAATTTCAGACCCTAATGGCATCCTTGTCTGATTAACCACTTAGATCTGGGGAGGTGGTCTGGGAGCAGGGATTCCTGCTATCAAGTCCCTGGGCTTTGAAAGACTTTACACAACGGCTGGTTATTTCCATCAGTGCCTCAATTTCTTAGCCATCTTTTTTTTTCTTTCATTAAATATAAAGCATAACATAGGTCTGTGGTGCTTGTTAAGACTTCGGAAAGAGAAGTATTATGCATTTTGATTGTTGTTCAAATGGGTGAAAATTTGCCTGGCCTGTTGGAGAAATTTTCCTCATAGAGACCCATATTCGGACTCAGTAATTTTGAAAAGGAAGGGTTGAATTTGAGTTTCCCCTTCCCCTCCTAACTGTGGTTCAGAGGTAAAAGCAAAATATTATTTTCTTTTGGAAGATTTGGTCATAGTCAATGAGAGTTAAATTTAAGATCAAACATCAAGTGGTTACAGGACAGTGCTCTGCCATATCTTGTTTTTAAAGTTAATTCCTGGGGAAACTAGAACAAGTTTTAGTTTAAAAAATTTGCAACATCCAGGTCTTTTATTCAAATGATGTATAAAGTTGATGTCAGATCTTAAAAAAAAAAATCACTCCAAAAATGGATCATATACTCTTGAAATGGGGAGATGGTGCACGATGTTGAGAGAAGGGCATTAAAATAGATGCTAAATAATTTTAGTATTTGCCCAATTTGGAAATTCTGCCTCACTGGAACATGTATCACTGAAGCCACTATAGTTAATATTCTGTCAATGTTTCCACCATAAATAAGCCTCAGTGTTGAAAGCTTTATAATTTGGTTATAAAAATTTGCTTTCTACCAGAATTTGACAGGATACGCAGGATCCAATTGTCCCAGAGAGAGATTGTTTTAAAAACATTTGGGAGGAATAAGTAAAGAAAGATTAACATATTGTGAAATGAGAATCAGAACTTTTATACCATATTTTTTTAGTGGTCTAAACAGTGACATATTTAGATAAATCTTGGCCCTAAATTGAAATTTTAGAAAGAATTCACTTATCCACTGGTAACTGCCAAATAAACATGCCTCTAGTGCTCCCTTGCCCTCCACACCCCCAACATTCAGGGGCAAGTTAGGTGATATTTAGCAGTGTAGACATTGTGGAGAAAAAGATGCTAAGGTCTTCTCTTTTTTCCTTCTTGCTCTAACCTGATTTCACTTTCCATTTTATCGTTTTTTCAAATTTTTTAGGTAATTAATACCAACGACTTGGGGTACTCATCATCACTCACCCTAAAGGTAACTCCCATAAATTTAACAGATGTAGCTAAAACAGTGTTACCATGGGAAAGTTTCTTTTTTTAACAAAAAAAGAATGATTGGACAATAGGAGCCCAAGAATCTAATCTGGGTCCTGCTGCTAACTGGTTGTGTGAACTTAGGCATGTCATTTAATCTCTGTGGGGACTTGACGTATTCTCAACTGTAAAATGTGTGTGTTGACATTCCACTCCTTACGAGCACAGTCTTGTCATCTTAGGTGGAAGGGGCATGATTTATGAAGGCTCAGAGTTCTCTCATAACGTTTTGCAAATGCCTCCTGTGGAATTAACAGAACTTGTGGCTTCCACAATGGTTGGGGAGTGCTTGTCTCTCTTAGGACTTCCAAGCTTTATGGGGAATGCTTTGAGTTTAGCTATAAATATGGCTGTAATAATTGGACAATGATAATGTTGTGTAAACTATTTTATAAAGCACTTTTCTTTTGAATATACAACCTTTTTTCATCTCACAAAACACTTAGGACATAGATATAGAAAAGAAAACTGAGATCAGTCAGATTCAATAAGGTGGCCGAAATGGAAAGTGATGGAACATTCTAAAACTGACTTTGGTCCTCTTTCTGCACACTGCTCCCTAACTTCATAATGCTTCCAAAAAATTAATAGAACTTAATTTAGGATCTACGGGCATGAGAGGACACATCTCTATGTTGGTGCATGCTCGCCTGTGAACAAGTGCTTTTGTTTTTCTCCCATAGTTCTGATATGGTCAAAAGAGTCAGCAACATATCCTTGCACTCCACCTTTGCACCTCAGCCCACCAATGTTCAGATGTTGGGATTCATGTTCAGCTACAGGCCTACTTAATTCCAGCTGCCAGAGGGCTCTCTCTCTGGCTTGTACAACCTCTTCAAAGCAGCCAAGATACACAGATGCTCTTAGATTCTTATAGCTGAGTGAGCTCTCCTGACATTATTTCAGCCCTGACTCTCAGTTTCCAGAAGAAACAAAAAGTCCTCAAAGACCTGAGAGTTCACCCACCTGGCTGGTGGAAGTACTGGGACCAGAACCTGGTCTCCAGGGTCAAACACAACAGCCTTCCCATCTCCACTTCATGAGCCAAGAAGACCTTTGTAGAGAGAAACCACTGAGGCCTATTTAAATGAGCAGATTACACTACTAATTGAAGGCCTAGATAGGGCACTGGACATGGCAGGTGTGGCTGTGGTTTGTAAACCTGTCTCTCCTCTCCAGTTCTTCAAACATTATATGCATTCATCCCCCATAAGCACCTCTCTGTTTTCCACTTCCCTGCTTCCTACACTTAAATATACATATATGTGACACAGTGACTACTTACCAACATCTGCAAATCTTACTTGAGTCCTTAAACTTATAATTCTTAATGCTCTGCTCTCTGAAACATGAAAGAAATTCAACCATTAATTCAAAACAGCTAATTAAGGGGCCAGGTGCAGTGGCTCACACCTGCAATCCCAGCACTTTGGGAGGCCGAAGAGGGCAGATTACTTGAGGTCAGGAGTTTGAGAACAGTCTGGCCAACATTGTGAAACCCATCTCTGCTAAAAATACAAAAATTAGCCGGATGTGGTGGGGGGTACCTGTAATCCCAGCTGCTCACTAGGCTGAGGCAGGAGAATCGCTTGAACCTGGAAGGCGGAGGTTGCAGTGAGCCAAGATCACACTACTGCACTCCAGCCAGGGTGACAGAGCGAGACTCCATCTCAAAAAAAAAAAAAAAAAAAAAAAAACCCATCAACAAGAAAGCTCTCCTTTTTCAGCTATAAAAAAGGTACCTTAACAGAAAAAGATGGGTTACATGACATGTTTGGATTACAGTAGAACAGAGAAGGAACAGAACCAGGAGATACAGCAGGGTGAACGAAGATCAAAGAGCCAGCAATTGCTTTGTACAGTAAATGAAACAGCAATACTATCTAGAATGCAAGATGGTCTTCAATATTTCTGGTCAAATATTCAAGGTCTCAACTTTAAAAAAAAACAAAAAGAACAATGCATTCCCTTACCAGAAATATTCAGCAGTTTTGCATCATAAATCAGTTGTTTGAAACCAAAAAGACCTAGCTATTATCCTCTCGTGTTACAACAGTGACCACAATAGTGTAGGGAAACTGACATTTTGGTCTTCTCCTGGGGGAAAGGCCAGACCTGCTGGGAATGGTACCCACAGTGGATGACATTCTGGTTTTGCTTCTTAAATCCATTATTATTCAGAACCTGCTGCAATCCAGATAACATACCTTGTTTCTGAGAGGTATCACTTGCCTTTGTGATTTTTGTCTGTACTTCAGTAAACAAAATTCAAAGATTCTGAGGAATTAAAGAAGGTCTTGGAGTCAGCCAAGTAAATTGAAGAAAACAAGTGATGTGTTGATTGCATAGACTCAATCAAAATGCAGGTCTAGTAGACAGCACACTTATACAAAATATCCACCGGACAGAGGAATCTCAATGCCATCTTAACATCCTTGAGTCCCTGAGTTGCATTTCATTTACCAGTCTCTCTCAGGGAAGACAATATGCTACATAATGTGAATATTTGAAGGGACAGAGCCACCATAGTGGAGACCCTGGCAAGTGGTTCCACACAGCTTATACCCTTCAGGTCAGGAAAGCACAATAGAACAATACAGGATGGCTTCTGTTGCCTTGTGGGGCTGTGGCAAAAGTGTGCTGTGTCCTCTACCAGAAGAAAACTCAATTTGGGTTTCACATAGTCATTGTCGACATGTATCCTAGGGGCTCTTTAATTGTTGTTCAGTAACTTAACAGGTCCACTTTTGAAGCAGAAGCCACTTTGCATATTGAGGTACACAGGTGATCTCTCTCCCTTGTTTGCAGAGATCAGCTTTAAGATTACGTGTGTTTGTTCAAAATGCACCCCCTACAAGACATGAGGGCTGCTTACTATAACCGGTAATTTAGAAACAATAAGAATCCTTTTCAGTAGAATTATAATGTGGTTGTCTGATACCCAGAATGCCCCCTTGCCAAAGCTTCACTTATAATCAACATGAGAAATGCAGCATGAGTTGGCAGTGGCCCTGAAGAAAGGACTGGGTGGAAGGGGAGTTTGTGCCACATCAGGCCCTGCCTGGTGAAACTTTACTTTTCCCCCTTGGACACAACAATACAGAATTATCCCCATCTATGCTTCCACCCTCCCTAACTTGGACTGCTGTCACCTTTTCTGGCACAAGAAATCAGTAACAGATGTCCCAGGCCTTGAATAAGAAAACAGAGATCGTAGGGTACTTTGTAATATGCTCAAACCTTATCCTGGAGCTTACATACAATTAAATTAAACTATGTCAGGATTTATGCTTCAATAGAGTCTAACGCTTTGGAACATTCCCCCTCTTGGTAAAATTTTAAACTGTCCCTTGAAATAATTTACAATAGCTAGACTTACTCTACATCTCATATTACTGATTAAAACACAGTGCCTGATTATTCCAATGGAGTATATATTAATATGAGGCATACGCACTCAGATTTTTATGTGTAGAGGTCTGAAGGTTGTTGGTTTTTTAAAAAGTATCTTTCATTGGAAACATGAAGGACAACCTTACTTGGATTATAGGAGATCAAACACCAGGAGATAATAACAACTGTGAACAAGTGTTAGGTTACTTGTGTACAACAACACAGTTTATCTCCACCTGGATTGCTATATGCAGTTTTGGTTACGACAGCTCAAGAAATACAAAACAAATTGAAAATTTATCCATAGAGGGATGTGGAAAAATAATCCTGGGTTTTAAGGGGTTTCTTTGCCAAGATTAGACTGCAAAAGCAGCACATTTCTAACTGGGAAGATAAACACTAATCAAAGTTAAAGAAATCATGAAAAGTGTCAATACTCATTTACCTAAGCCTAGATCTGCAGATCTAGGAAACCGTAGTTTTAGATCAGGTAAAAAGAAGTTCACGTTTCATAGTGAACTTAAAAACTTTGTTACCTCAAATACTTGAGAAGCCTGTTTATTTAGATGGGATCATGGATGTCAAGTTCAAATTGTGAAGGGAAGATGGAACCACCTGGAGAATGTATTTAGTGATCTTGATGTGATATTGTGAAAATAACCCCTGACACCCCTATCTATCAAAAATGCATCAAGGGTCTGACCCAAGATGGTATTCCCGTTTTTCCTATGACTTTGATGAGGAGAAAGGATGAGTTATATGATTTCACTGAGCTCCCACGCTACCACAATCTGGAAACCATAGTAAGGAGGCTTTGGGGCTAACTTTTTCTACCAGAAACAGAAGTAGTCACAATACATCATTTATTACAATATTATTCAGATGGATATTATTTCTTTTACAAAAAGAAATGATGCACAGGTCTAAAGAAATCTCACTAGCAATAAAAACTTCAATATAAATGCAATAATTGGGGGTAAATGCATTTTATCTAATGCCTACATTAAAGTAAAATAAAAGCATCAGTGCCATTTTCTTTGTCACAGTCACTGGAAGCCTATAGATCATTAGTGCAAATTAAAAACCACAAAGGTTAAAAGTGCATTTTAAGGCACATGCAAGAATTGCATGAGCCTTGCCCTTTGGATTCTCTTTATGGTGTTTTGTCAAATTGAACATCGGGACTGTCCTACGTAGACCAAGAGACAGTAATTCCAAATGTCTCTGCTGGGGACTGCTTTGACCAATTGCAGCTACTGCCTGTGAGAAGAGCGACAGTGCTGCTGGGAGTTTGCCTGGCCCCAGGTCTCTCCAAACAGTTCCTGGGCTTCTAGGGGGCTGGAAAAATTCAATATATAATTTTGCTGTGACCTCCTCTTCCTGAGACCTGTCAGTGTTTGATACCAAGATGGACCCTAGGGACTGGTCACTGCTACTATAGCTCCTTAGCTGCAGCTGTTCAAGCTCACAGGCTGAAGGAAAAAGAAAAATAAAGTTTTTAATGGCTTGACTAGTTACTGATAGAGCCTGGCACCCACATCTTCCCTTGAAAGAAAGATACTCTTTATAGCACACAGACTATGAGTGAATGAGAAGGAAAACAGCAAAGCGGTGGGAGATAAAGAAGCCCAGTAAAATGTCCCTCTGCCCCCTCACTCTTCCAGGTTGGGGGAAGTGCTGGTATGATTCAAACCAGTGAAACAAACAAACAAACAAAATTTACTTTTTTCCCTTGGATTTGAACTTAGTAATGTTATCATTTGAAGTGTAAGTACCGCTACCCGGGGCCCCACTGTATTAAGCATTTTAATTCCTGAAGAGGTTTGTAGTGGCTCTGAATGTCTTATTTTAAGAAAGTAATAAAAGTTGGTTTTATCAGTTCTGGGACCCTGGGGTGCCTCTGACCCTCAAACCCCTGACCCAATTCTCAAGGCCATTCCAGTGGGCCGCCTCTCCTGTTATACGGTGTTGGAAACCTAGGACTCTTTTGACAGTTACTAAGAGAGGGGGGAATATCATCCATAGATTTTTTTTTTCTAAATGTTAACTAAAAGTACCTTATCTCTGCTGCTGCCCTAACTACCTCACTAATTCTGGTACCAAAGTCATGCTGTTAAGGAAATAGCTGATTTAAACAAAGCAGGAGTATTTTTAGAACAATAAAAAACCTATTCATGATATCTAATTATGCAAACTGTGAACAAGAAGATGCTAGTCTTGCATTAGCTGAGACTTGACTCCTGTTATAATTTGCTCTTTTTTTGCAGCAGAAAGCAGTTCTTTTTTGTCGCTTTACTGCCTTAGCGTGGCTTGGTGCTTTTGGCAGACTCAGCGCAGGTCACCGCAAAGTGTTTCTGTTGCTGCGGTAGACTGCAGTTAGGGAGCGTGGCAGGATAATGTATTGTAATGCAGATTACGGTGGTTTGCTGCTGCGTGATTCACAGATATGATTGCATCTAATTTCAGAAATAAGTGGAACCGTCTGCTCTTTTGTGTTAGCTGAAAGCTGTTCGATGGCGTTCAAATGACTGCTGCCTTTGCACCTAGAAAAAGATAGAAGAAACCCACCCATATCACAGCAATAACTTCCTCATTGTACCCCCCCAAATTCAGCACCATCCTGGCTTTTATGAGAATCGTAGTTCTTTCATCTTTCCTCCGAAAAATAATATGGTCCCATGTTTTGGGGAGTGGGTATATTTTGTTTTATTAAATTTTCTCATCTCTTCCTCTTGGAGAGGGACCATGCTAAATGTTCGTTTCCCTCACTCTCTCTCTCCTGTGGTTCTGTAACAATGCTGTTCTGACTCTTAGAAGAAAACATCTCCATGTAGACCTGCAGTGAGAAGTTCTTAAGGAGTGACTTAGCATCGCAATATTTGGTAACTTTATGAAGCCTGTGGATAACTGGAGCTTTTGCAACTAAAAAATAATTGCAATTTTAATTATGAATCAGATTCATTTAGGCTGTTGGTTCTTATCAATTTGTAGGTTTTCATTTAAACTTCCAGCTCCTTGGACTCCAGTTCTAAGGGGGGCAGCTCTCCAAAAGCAGGCGAATCATACACACACTCTTTCCTCTTCTTTGACCACACACAGTCCTATCCCCTTTATGAAATCAGCCTCCCCCAGTTTGAGTTTGTATCCCCTAATTATGTGCTTTCTTAAATGTTTGTTTTCCGTTGCTCTAACTTTGGTTTTACATATCTCTCTAAAAAAGCCCACAGAAACAAGTTAACTATACTTTTCATACCAAACAGAAATTAAACCTAGGTAACAAACCCTTTGGCAGGAAAACAGTGGGATTTCCCAATGAGCCACATGAACGCAGAGGATGCTGGCAGCCAGCAGAGTCACTTGGGACCCACAGAGCACAGAGGTTAACAGGAGGGGACATCAATCTGCAATGTAACACTGACACTTAATGTTGTTCAGACCCTTTATGAGACAAAACCAAGCACAGGCATTGTTCATTTCTTATTTGACACTTAGAAAAATTCACAGCTGTGTATAAGCACAATATTAAGGACGTGGAACCAGAGGGAAGAAATATTCAAACACAGGCAGCTCCTTCAGCCTGACTCACTCTTCTTAGAGGCTAACCCTATTTCCCCAGGCAGGAGGTCTTATGATGGCAGGCCTTTATTTGACCCACTACAAATATAAATCTATTTCACAATGAGCTCTCATAAATGGAGCTATTATATGACTCCATTTTCTGGATATGATCTTTAGAAATTATCCTGTATCTAGCCTTTAAAGTGTATTCAAGAGGCACTTCATTTGGGTGGATAAGAGTGTAAGATATGATGCATGTAAAATTCTGCCAGTTTTTTTTCAGATGCAATTGTTCATGCTGTAAACTTTGAAATTGTCTGATGACTGGGTCATTTTACAACTGCCTTCACTGATCTTCACAGCAAAGGGCAAAAGGACTGTGACTGTCAGGCTGTAGCCAGAACGTTTAATAAAACGCCATGGGAGATTTCCTCCCCAGCACAATAACTTATCAGAAAACATCTAATGAGCACCCTGTGTGTCCGAGGTAGAAGACCCCAACCTCCCTCCACCCACACACTAGGGTCTATACTATGGGAAGAGTATAATATTCCCACTGATGGGAAACTCTAGATGGGGGAATAAGCTTATTAGAAAACATAGACTTTGCAAAGAGCTAAAGATTTGGTTCTGTTTATATTTTTTAAAACTAATTATAATATTTAATATCTTTTCCTCTCATGTTAAGTATTAGCTATCTACTTCAGAGGAAAACACTACAACCTAGAAGTATTTGGAGGAGGGTGTAACTCCCACAAAACACCCTTCTCCACCTCACTTCGTAAATCTATTCAGTTTGAGACATAATCCCAGGAAAAAGGCAATATGGCAGGGAGTGGGGGTGTGGGAAATCATTTTCTATGTTGCTAATTCTTAATGTCACTCAAAAAACGGTAAGTTAAACCCTTTCTATGGACACAAAAAGAAAAAAGTATTTTCTGTTAACACAATGATAAACTTTACTGTAATTCAGAGGCGGTCAAGAGTGTAAATGTGACAAGAAGCCAAATCCACAGAAACAACAGTGCTTTGCATCTGGAGCTAAGAAATTTAGGTTTCCTCCTAGCACCAGTTACCTAGAGAAAGCCTCAGTTGTACCATCTGTAAAATGGAGAGTTTGCCTGCTAGCCTTCACAGAGTTATGAAAATTAAGAAGTCTCTATAATAGTGTTTTAAAATGTATACTATTTTAAGCTACTGCACACAGTTGGACATGGCACACACAGCTGGGATTTAAAAGCAGAAAGGACATCAGCAAGGTGATTCTACTGGGACAGAGTCTGCAATTCCATGACAATTCTCGGAGGTATGATAACTAAGTCATTAGATACAGCTTGGGTAGTGCACTTTGTCACTGACTGCCAATAAAATTGCTCACGTTGGCCAGGCATGGTGGCTCATGCCTGTAATCTCTCCACTTTGGGAGGCTGAGGCAGGTAGATTGCTTGAGCCCACGAGTTAGAGATCAGCCTGGAAACATGATGAAACCTCATCTCTATTAAAAATGTGAAAAATTACCCAGGCATGGTAGTGCGTGCCTGTAATCCCAGCTACTTGGGAGACTGAGCAATTGCTTTGAACCTGGGAGGAGAATTGCTTGAACCTGGGTGAAGAATCGCTTGAACCTGGGAAGCGGAGGTTGCAGTGAGCCGAGATGATGCCACTGCACTCCAGGCTCAGTGACAGAGCGAGATTCTGTCTTAAAAGAAAAAAATATATATTGCTCAAGGCTCAAGTTACAGAGGACGCTCTCTATGGAAAACTTTTAGAGAGAGAGAATGAACAGGTGTGTCGTTGCTTCTTTCCTTGGTACAGGTGGGGATAGCCTTCTTATCAGCGAGTCCAGGCCTCAGCCCACATGTGTTAACAGCATACCAGTGTGGAGAGCTCTTTCTCCTTCATAAGCAGCAGAGTAATAGCTCGACTCAGTGCACACATTAAGTCCACGCACAATATTCCTAACCGGTCTATAGACGCCTTCAGAGCTGACACTTTCCTGCCTCTTCCTGCGCCTGCCTTAGACCACACGCCAGCGTTACTTAGGGAAAGAGATGATGATTCCCTGTCATTGTTTTTGAGTAATGAATGGGCAATTACCAAACTCTTCTGGAAACTCCTGTCTTCTCAGAGCCCTAATGGAGCATTCAATTCCAAGTATTGGGAACATAAATAGCAGTGAGGGTGCCCACATATTTCAAAGGCTGTAGAAATTACATTGCACAACTTAAACCACCAGAAGTTAAATGGCTTTCTGAAAGGATACTGCTGGGATATTTTTCATCACTTTTACAATATTTTTTTCCTTGCTGTCATTTAAATAGATCCTTGGAAACTTGAAACTTAAATCTATTTCCTTACCCAAAGTTTTCCTTTCAGCATACACACACACACACACACACACATAACTGCCTTGTTATTTTAGGATCACTCATGGGCTGGTGGCACCGATTTTTTTTTAATCAAAAAAACACATAAAAGCTTTTTCTCCACATATTTTCTCCACACATACTGTGTCTCAGAATGGTAAATTAAAGCCACGTAGGCAAAAAAAAAAAAAAAAGAGAAACATCCTCAATGACTATAGAGAAGCAAGGGTTTTGGGCATAGGCCTCTTTCCAGATCCATCAACATTTTTTCTTTCTTTTTTTGGTATTTCTTTAAGGATTAAATTATGTAAACCAAATATATCTAAAATAATTGTATTAGGTGCAAGGTTTATGTAATGTTTGCAGCTAGCACTCATAGCAAAAACAACCTTCACACTCTTCACATGTGAAGCTCCAAAGTAAATCTGATTTTCTTAATAGCTTGAATTCACATACATTGTTGGTGAAAAGCTACAAAAATATGCTTTGTGTTAGCTCTGCTAACTTTATATTCAATTTTTCTTTTAAAAATTTAATTGCATTTCCCATTGTTTCTATTGCATTCTTATAACACAATTTGTGCTCCCTTTAGTAGCTAAAATTACACCTGTAACTGTCCAAAACTATTAGTAAAGTCAGCTTAGCTTGTGGGATAAAGTATCTGTCTTGTATTTCAGACAGATTGTGTTCCAACACCATTGTGGTCAGATTTTTATTAAAAATTCTTCATATTTCTTTTCTCTTTGTGCCAAACAAATCGCTACATTTTCAACACTTAATCATCTTCCTCATCTAAAAATATTTCCACATTAAATGAAAATATTTAAACTTCTTTTTGATGCAGCAAAACTTAGAACACTGTACAAAGTCTGGTTTTCATAAAGTTCTGCAAAAGAGCAGCATGCATATAGAAGCAACTATTGTGAATAATTGTCAAGGTCAAGGGGAGAAACGCAATGGTTAGCAATGGGATGGTTCTTTCCCTAAGATTTCAAATGGACTACTTCAGCAGGGAAGTTTGTTCCCTTTTTTTGAGAAACATTTTTGGAAAGCTAGCATTGGTGATGACAATTGGGGCTTCCCTTATTGGAGAGACTTCCCTCGGTGTCATGGAACTTCTGAAGTTCATTTATGCCAAAAGGGAAGTGCACCAAGACTTGACCCCTTTCCCAAATGGCCCTAGGTGAAATCCTTCATTACGTGCTGCCCTTACAGTTAGTATCCAATCAAGAAAATAGAAGCTTCTCTGAGCATTTAAAGCAAAGTAAGTTTAACACAGGGAATTGGTTACACTGGCGCTGGAAGAGAACAAGAAGCCCACAAGGGACACCTAGGAAACCCAGAGGTAAAAACAGCAGGAAGCCATGGGGTCCCCTAGATTGGAGGGACAGAGGAGAAGGTGAAGCTAGAGCTAGCTAAGGACAGTTGGCTGAGATATCCCCTGAGGCAGAAAAAGAGGGGACAGCATGGCCCCTTGACCAGGGCTAACAAGGCCGCCTACCTGGGTCTGCACGTGATACGAGCCTGCAGTCGTCCTGCTCCAGCTTTGGGTCCTCCACCCTTGAGGAATGCTTGGGGCTACAGGGAGGTGCCTATGGCCTCAGGGCCTGTGTAACTCCTAGGCCACACTGAGACTGTCTATCCCAACAGCCTGAGCCCACTCCCAGGGACTGTGCAGGCCTCTGGCCTTCTCCTCAAGTGGGGCACACCTCCAGTGTTCATTTCAGATGGCCTAAGAGCCCCAGAGCAGGTGTTTGAGGGGAGGGGGAAAAAGCTTGGACGTGGTGACAGTGATGTCTATATGTGTGTATGACAGGTCACAAGAAGCAAGTGGGTGGCAGGCCAGAGGCCAGGCCAAAGCAGAGGCCAGGGTTGGGGTCAGGGCCTAGACCGGGTGGCAGAGCCCAGAGCCAGGGTTAACTCTTTCCATACCACCATGTCCAGGTGTGAAATTCCTGGAGTCCAAGAATTCTAACTCAAACTAGCCTTCAAGTTGATGTGAAAGTACAGTTGATGAGGTAGGAGGCTAGAATGTGCTTTATTTAACAATTTGTTAGCTTGTTTTAGAACTTGTAAACATTTGGATATGTGATATGGGATCTCCATTTGACCTTTTACCTCTGACTCTGTAAATGTTAGGGGTGGACCTAGGCAGAGGAGAAATACTTTTGGCTTCTCCTTTTCTCTTACCTTTCAACCTCCCACCAGTAGCTGTCACTGGCTGACCCTGATGATATAGGCTCTGTAAAATACAGGGAGGAGCAGAGGAAGTGAGAAAAGGACTTGAGAGCAAAGAGGCTTAGGGCTGGGACTCCCACCCAGCAAGGGTGTCCCCTAGGTCAAAATCATATGCCCCCTTTTATACTAGGCTTATAATCTATTATTTAAAGCAAAGTTTAAATGCATGTCCCACTTGAGTTTCTTCCTTCCAGCTTTCTCTCTTCCTTCCTTCTTCCCAACCTTCTTTAAAATGCAAAAACTCCTGAGACCGGTGGCAGATTAAACTTCTAGTGCCTTAGTGTGAATGAATCTGTTAAATATTTTTCTGGTCTGGAAAGCCCGGGGCAGCTTAAGAGAACAGGCTGTCCAGGAAGAGAGAGGAGGGAGTAGATTGGACATCTTGTGACTTTCTGTAAAAGTCTTTTTGTAAAAATATACAAATTATAAGAAACAAATTATCAATGACAATATCCAGTCTGGGGAGTAAATGGTACAATAATTTTAAGATTGAGATCAACCTGAACCTCAGTCTCGATTTTGATATACCTATGTGAGCGAATGAATGTGCTTAACAATTCTTTGCCTCAGTTTCCTCATCTGTAAAACAGAGATGACAATAATAAAACAACCTTTAGGAGTGGCAGCGAAGTGAAGTGAACCAAGGAAAGTATATAAAGTGTTTTGTGTAGTGCCCATTGTATAGCATTCACTCAATTAATGCCAGAAATTAAGATTAGCTTTAGGCTGAATAATGACCCCCACAGATGTCCATGTCCTAATCCCCAGAGGCTGTGAATAGGCTATTTTATATAGTAAAAGAGATTTTGCCAATGTGATTAAGTTCTTGAAGTGGGGAGGTTATCTTGGATTATCCAGGTGGGCGCAATGTAACTACACAAGTCCTTATAAAGAGGAAGATGGGAGGATCAGAGTTGGTAGTAGCAGACATGATGACAGAGTGAGTGACTGGAGTTCTTCAAGGAAGGAGCCGGGAACTGAGAATGCAGATAGCCTCAGACACTGATAATGCAAGGAAACAAAATCTCTCTGAAGCCTCCAGAAGGAACAGTGCTCTGCTGACGTCTTGATTTTAGGTTTCTTATCTGCAGAACTAAAGGGAATAAATGTGTGCTGTTTTAAGCCACCAGTGTGTGGCAGTTTGTTATACAGCAACAGGAAACAAATACAGATGATTATCCTGGATGGTCTGGAAATAAATGAATGAAGGACTTAGAAATATGCATGGGAAGAGGAAAAATTCAGTTTATTTTAAACCTCTAAAGCTTGGAGCAAATTAAGAATGACAAAGAGAAACTTATCCAATACAAAACTTAGTGTTACAAGAAATTTCCCTCTTTGTAAGTGTTGAAGAAACTGGAAGGTTCTCTGATAACAAAACTCCATTGAGAGAATTTGGAGTGAAATCCAGCTTTTTTTTTTTCAGTGGATAACTCTTGAGTATAGATGTCTTCTACTTTCTCTTGGGCACCCTCTAGTGGAAGTGCAAAGGAGCCATGAGAATCAGAAGACTGGCTGTCTTAGGGGAGAAAAGATCAGAAAGCTGCTAACCCAAGCTGGCTGGCATAGCATTTTACATATTTTGTAGAAGGTTAATATGTTTTCACAGATTTGATTTTTTTCCTTATTGTATTCTTCTTTGGAATTTAAAGCTTCTTACCTTTAATTCGATATTTATTCAGCAATCACTTATTGCTAAGAACTGATTTGCATTACCCAAAATTCATATGTTGAAGACCTAACCATCAATGTAATGGTATTTGGAGGTGGGGCCTATGGGAGGCGATTAGGTCATGAGGATGGAGCCCTCATGCTGGGTTTAGTGCCCTTATAAGAAGAGACATGAGAGAGCCTTTTCTCTTTCTACCAGGTGAGGATACAGTGAGAAGGTGGCCATCTACAAGCCAGGAAGGGAGCCCTCACCAGGAACTGAATCTTCTGGCACCTTAGTCTTGGACTTCCCAGCCTCCAGAACTGTGAGAAATAAATTTATGTTGTTTAAGCCATACAGTCTATGGTATTTTGTTATAGCAGCCTGAGCTAAGACACTCTCAGCCCCATACTGAGCAAAGTGCAGGAGAGACAGAAGTACAACAAAGCAAACAACATGAGGAGAGAGCTTATGTCCAGAGAAAGAGGCAGATGAGTAACAAGTAATCACAATCATAATAAAATGTGATGTGATGTGAACCACAATATATAAACAAATGGAGTGCTCGGGAGGTTAATTCAAGAAGTCAAGAAATAATTCTTAGTGGAAGCTTTATCCAGGGTTTGAGGGCTGAATGGAGGCTTACCAAGTGTGGAAAATGCTGGGGAGAAACGTGCAAAGTAACAAAGTCTCAAAGGGCATGATATGTTCAGGGACAAGTTAGAATTACAGGTGAGTTAGGGAGAGAGGGAAGGTAAACATGGAAAGTTAGTTAAAGGTCAGAATATGAAAGGTCTTATATGGAAAGGCATACCACAGAAAAGAGATAGTGTGGTGGAAATAGAAGAGGCTAAAGAGTAGATGGATTTATGTTTGACTCTTGGGTCTGATTTTGCCACTCTTTACCTGCGTGATATTGGAAAAATTATTTAACTTCAGTTTCCATTTATAAAAATACAAATGGCGAATAAACATACAGAGAGATGTTTCTCTTTTCTATTAGTCATGAAAATACAATTAAAACAATGAGATTTCTTAATCTTCCAGCTCACTCAGTTGGCAAAAATTAAAGTGATTGAAAGCATTTGATGCTGGCAAATATGTGAGGAAATGGACACTTTTCAAAATTACTGATGAGACTGTAAATTGATACAACTTACTAGGAAATAATTTGGAAATATCTAGGGGTTTTTTGTTTTTTTTTTGTTTTTAACATTCCCTTAGTCTTACTACTCCCTCCCCTAGTTACTGCACTAGCCCTTGTGGTTTTCCTTCCCTACACCAACACTTCTGAAATCACTCCTTTGGAAATAAAATCTTTCATTTATCCTAATTTCAGTGTGCCACCTCTTTCCTGTTAGGACACTGACTGAATCAGTCCATAAAGCACTTGGCCACATAAAAGGTTCTCAGTACATTTAGATCCCTCCCCTTCTTTCCCTAAGGATCTTTGGACTACGTATTGAATGTCACTGGAAACTCCTGAGTTTCTTCAAGCAAAAGAATGATTTTATTTGTTTTGCTCTTTAGAAAGATGAATCTGATTGCAAACAAAAATGTCTTTCAGATGGGAGAGGAGAGAGTAACTTAGCCATGAGGCCCTGATCTGCTACTCTTCCTGGGGACTCCTAGGACACAGTGGGTGATTGGTATAGTGTGGAGAGGATTCAGAGATGTCTCCTGGTTCTGTGGCCTAAAAGAATAGACAGCTACACTGTGAGTAGAAAATGGAATCAGGAGAAGGAGGAGAAAAAGAGGAAGTACAGGGCAAAAGATCTGAAAGAATTGATAAGGGCTCACTTCCCTTCTCTCACTTTCAACGTTTTTGTGAGAAGAGGAAAATGAGTCTGGGCATGATGGCTCACGCCTGTAGTTCCAGCATTTTGGGAGGCCGAGGCAGGTGGATCACCTGAGGCCAGGAGTTCAAGACCAGCCTGGCCAACATGGCAAAACCCTGCCTCTACTAGAAATACAAAAAAAATTAGCTAGGAGTGGTGGTGCATGTCTGTAATCCCAGCTACTTGGGAGGCTGAGGCACGAGAATCACTTGAACCTAGGAGGTGGAGGTTGCAGTGAGCCGAGACTGTGCCACTGCACTCCAGCCTGGGCAACAGAGAGAGACTCCATCTCAAAAAAAAAAAAAAAAGAAGAGGGAAATGAGAGACAGGATGGACGAAGGACAAGTAGACAACAGCAAATACAATGAATTGCTGTGAAGGGGTGCAGAGAGAAGGAAGAGGGGCATAGTCTTCTATCATTGCATGTGAATGTTTTCCCCTATTTCTATGTGCTAAAGTTGATTAAATTACACAGCCAACCCAGGCCTCTCTCCTGAGATGTTAGAGCTGTCAAAGCTCTAGTATGTAGCTGAAGGTCTCAAAGGTCTCAAAGATCTCTACTTAGAGGTCTCGAAGGAATCTTAAACACAAAACGTCCCACTCTAAATTCATCTCATATGCTCCTAGAGCTTGTCTACCTTCTGTGTTTCCAACTTAATCAACAGCACCAAATTCCATCTAGTGGCCCCAGCCAGAAACACAGGAACTCTTTTTGACACCCCACCCACCCTGTCCTGACATCTAGTTCCTTACTAAGTCTTATTTCTATCTCCTAAACATCTTTTAAACTCTTACTTCTCCCCATCCCTCCTTTTACCTCCTAGTTCTGGCCTCTAGAATCTCTCCACTTGGGCCACTGCAATAGCCTCTAAGCAATGACTTCACATAGTTCCTTTCCAATCCATTTTTCACTTGCTGTCAGAATGATCCGTCTAAAAGGCAAATGGGAGTATTTCATTCCCTAGTGGAATGCTTCGAGGGCTTCCATTTGTCCTTAGCCTAAAGACCAAATTCCTTATTGTCAAGACTACATTCCGTGTTTACAGCCTCATGAAGCAATGAAAAGTGGAGCCTATACTGACAGACTACTGGGTTCAAATCTTGGCTCTGCACTTTCTAGATGTGTGATCTTGCTGACTTAATTTCCTCATCTCTACAATGGGGATAACAATGGCACATACCTCAAAGGGTTGCTGTGAGATGCTCGGCTTGTTTATGTGCTCAGTCAGTTGGCTGTTACTGCATCTCCAGCTTTATTTCACCCTACCCTCCTTCCTTCTGCAAGAGCTTTTACCAAACTCTTTTATGCTTTCTCAATCAGCCCCTTGTGCATTCGGTTTCTTCTACCTACATATCTATTGCCTCTTCCTAACTCTTTTATTCTTTTTTTTTTTTTTTTTTTTTTTTGAGACGGAGTCTCGCTCTTTCGCCCAGGCTGGAGTGCAGTGGTGCGATCTCGGCTCACTGCAAGCTCCCCCTCCCGGGTTCATGCCATTCTCCTGCCTCAGCCTCCCAAGTAGCTGGGACTACAGGCGCCCACCACTGCGCCCAGCTAATTTTTTTGTATTTTTAGTAGAGACGGGGTTTCACCGTGTTAGCCAGGATGGTCTCGATCTCCTGACCTCGTGATCCGCCCGCCTCGGCCTCCCAAAGTGCTGGGATTACGGGCGTGAGCACCGCGCCCGGCCAACTCTTTTATTCTTTATTGGGAGCTTGTGTGGTTCCTACCCTGTCTCAGACTAAGAGCTCTGCTAGATGGTTCCCCTTTTCCTTCCCAGTTCATACTAGGCTCTTATTAAATAATTTTTAGTGGAATGAATGAAGAGCATTTATGATATTTTGTGAGAACTGAGGTTTTTTTTTTTAATAGTTTCTCCAATGTAGGGCACAGTGTATATGAAAGTTATCTTGTTCACTGTTGAATGCTGGCATCCAGTAGAGAGAATGACACATAGTAGGGATTAGATTAAATAAATACGTGTTGAATACATTTGCCATCCTAGACAAGTACTGACTTTCAAAATCTACTTATACACTCAAATGGATCTATCATGAATCATAAAATACTGCAAATTTTGCCAATTTACATTAGAGGTTTTTTTTTTAATTTCGTGTTCTCTCCAAGTTTCTTACTCTTCCAATACTCATCCATTAATTATCATATGTGTTGGCTAATTTTGAACTCTAGGGCTTTATTTGCTTTATATCATGTGGCAAAATGTTTCTTGGTGAACTTTAAACCTTCTCTCTGATCCTGCCAATTTAGTAGATTATATCAGATATTTGTAGGAGTGCAAAAAGTTGCAAGTTAAAAAGCCATCAGTGTGACCATTTTAATATATAGTTCGAAGTAAAGAAAAATATCTCAATTATTCCTTTGTTTTTCAATCACTTTTATTAATGATAGCACTGCTTTCTGAGTAAAGATCACCTTAACTCTTGCAGGCAACATGACATCTTTTATTAAATTATATTAAAACACTGATTAATTGTAATCCAAATCCTCCATTATCCAGGGTTTACTTCTTGTTCTGTATTTGAGGAAACGAATCAAAAATCAAAGAAACAGGTCAGTGTTAGCTAAAACAACAACAAAGCCAACAAAACATTTTCAGCATACATACTGGGCACGTGTGTATTAAATGTAATAAAACAAACATTACTTTTTTAAAAAGGGTGGTAATTTAGCCATATACTGAGTCACCAAAGATTTGATTCTTTCCCTCCATCCTAGCCAAAAGGGAGAAGAAGGGAGTCATCCACTTAGATTTTTCAGTAAGAAATGAAACGAAAAGGGTTGCTGGCTTGATCATGGGTTAAACAGAAAACTTGCTTTTACTTTAACTTCATGTATCTTGGTGAATTGGGCTTTTATTACATTTCTACTATTACCTTAAATGACATCTTAATGACCAAATGCTTTTGATTTACTTTAAGATAACTTTCATTGAAGAAACACTCAATATACGCTGAATAAATAAATGAATACACAAATAAACATATGTATTACACTGGGTATGGTCCCTTTAGTAAGACATTTGTTTGACTCGAACCAATTCTGTAAATTTCATAAATGATAGTGAAGGTGACATTAGCTGACATTAAACCAAGATGTTTGGAAGACTGATAGAGAGGAAATAACTCAAAACTCTGAAAATAAAGCTGTTAAATATTACAAGCACAGCCATGCCTTGCTAAACTCATTTTTCAGGACAGAAAAGCAGATTGTGGAATTATTCACGCCAAAGTAATCCTTGCTTAATTTAATCATCGAACTAGGTTTCCTAATATGGATATTTTCTTAGACTTCAATTTGTTACATAGCTAACTTATTTTCTAATAGACTATGTTGGTAATAAGAAAATGAATTACATGCTGTTGGCAGAGTGATGATAACTTAGATCTGAATTTATCCCACACAAACTTGGTACCCCCTTTAAATTCAATAAGCTTGGGATACCTCAACAATCTATCACCTCTGGATGCCATTTATAAACAGATGGTAAGCCTCCACACCCGTGTGCTGCAGAGAGCACAGGCCAAAGTACTTTTATCCAGGAATCTTCCGTGGCATCATCAGGAAGAACACAGAGCCCAGCCAATTTTGAACAAAGACCATTCAGCTTCCTGTTTCAGGACCTTCTAAATCCTTAAATCCCATTGGCTTAGCACAGGCAAAACCTAACACCGCAGTAAATGTCATACTCCACCCAGGAGAGGGCAGCGACACTCACAACAAGCCAACATTACACCAGGGCTTGGAATGATTGAATAGAAAAACAGTAGAGAGGTCCAGGCTGCAGTGAGCCATGATCTTGCCACTGGACTCCAGCCTGGGCAACAGAGTGAGACCATGACTCAAAAACAAACAAACAAAAAAAAATGAATTAGGGAAGAGAGAAAGAAGGAAGGAAGGAAGGAAGGAAGGAAGGAAGGAAGGAAGGAAGGCAAAAGAAAGAAAAAAGAAAAGAAAGAAAGAAAGAAAGAAGGAAAGAAAGAAAAGAAAAGAAAGGAAACCGAGTGTCTGATGGTTGAAAGATCATTTGTCTTTCATTCTTCACTGTCTCCAAGCATGAACCAGGAGAAATTTAAACGCAAGAAAAGCAACAATCACTATTTCATCAACTCTCTCTCACAGCAGGGAGTTATTCAAAAATAATAATGCCTTTCTATGATAGGAAACCTAATTATTAAGAGCATTAAACATTAGAAGATTGCCACCCTTCGTACTGGCTGCAGATCGTTTGTCTTACTTGTCAAACACAAGTTCGTTTTTGACACTGATTTCTTAAATTTCCGCTGACTTGGCAATCTGCAGCCACTTCTCACAAGCTCTGTAATATCTTAAAGACTTCACAGCTAAGCAGTTAGAAAGGATTTGGGGTTTAATTCAGCTCACTGACCTGTTTAAGAGAATAACGGAAATAAAACAATTTTCAGCTAAAGGCCTGAGAAGGCCTCTCTCTTCTGAAAGAGTCTTTGTATCAATGCCATGAATCAAATGGTTTGTCTAAGTGGTTATTCTGCACCACCAGTGAAGGCCCAGCAATGTGGCAGTGAATCACATTTAATAACTTGTGGTTAGCTGTCATGAACACTTAATTTGATGTTGAACACAAACCCTGCAGGGGCAGAAGGGAGCTGGGGAGGGGAGAGGTGGGTGAGGTGTGGGGGGCAGAGAGAGTTAAGATCCACTTGAGATCCTGCGGCTCCCTTCACCCCTTGAATCTTGAGGGACGGATGTGGGATCCTGTCTGCTGGTGTTTCTGCTGCGTTTTTTGCAGCACGGCGTTAGACAGAATTCGCTTTCTTGGCGTTTATCGTCTCCCCCACTTCAAGTCTTCCTGGGATCCCATTCACCCTCATAATGAAGGCTCGCCCAGTGTTAGAAGAACACTGCAGTCTTTTCCAGAGTGCTAGTGGAGGGCTGTCAGGCCGGCTAGAAGAATTCAAAGCGTTCAGGGAACCCACAAAAGATTTCTTGCAGCCTTTTAGCTGCCTGGCAGGCAGTAGAAACCCCTCTTGTGTCAACTGCTAAATACTGCTGTCCCTGTGTCCTAAACGGAATGCGTCAAAACTCGGGAATCCCACAGCTTCACATGTTAGCCATGTGCGCTGGCGGCAGCGGGCTCCGGCCGCTTCAGACGTTTTAATTTGTCACTCGGGAAAGCAGATGTGTCAGGGAGTTGGAGAACTTGGGAGGTGACCACAGCGAACTGCCTGAGGGGCCTACCCCACCGGGACCGCTGATGAGCCTCCTCCGTGGGGCCAGCCCAGTGCTGGGAGCGGAGGGAGGGAGCAGCAATTTGGTGGCTGCGATTGGAGACAAGGCCGCCTCCCACCGCGCCTCCCGGGAGCCCCCGGCGCGCACCCCGCCCGCTCGTGGCCGCGGCCGGTCCCTTTAGTCCCCCTTGCCGCGCTACGCGCACGCCCTGCCCTGCGCTGAGCAATGGCAACCTCGAAAGCACGTTCCAAACACTTTCTCCTTAGTCCTCAGGCCTCTCTCACTGGTTCGTTGAGCTACACAGCTATTCTCCGAGATTGCTCTAAGTCGGTGTGAGAATCTTTTAAGTGTCCTTCAAAGGCTACTTTGCAATGACGCGAGCCTGAGGCATAGGTCCCGATCATTTCAATCTGGTCAATAGAGGAAAAACAAAATGGAATTTGACATTAAAAAAAAAAAAACTCAGTAGTCCTGTTTTCAAAGTGTAAATGTGATGAATTTTAAAGCAAAGCAAACTTTAATACATTCAAATAAACACTAAATTGTAACACCTCTGAAAGCATTAATCACTCCCCTTGGTGTGTCAAGAACTTGGTGTAATTAGAGACCTCCTCTGACTCCCCTCAAACTCCTCACTCTCACCCATCCCCACCCACCCCTCCTCACCCTCTAGACGCCAAGTGCATTGCCTGCCTCAGTGCAACTGACAAATACATGCATTGAACCAAAATTCCTGCAAACTCAGCTGACAAGAAGACTGTGAAAATATAAATCTCTATTTTACATATTTTTATTGGTAGTAATAATAGAAACAATGTTTATATTTTTAAAAAATCCAAACCCATGGGATAAAAGTAACAAGTCTACAGCTACCCAATGAAACACACACACACACACTTGAAACTTCTGTGTTCTAAAAATGTAACAGATTCAAATCAGACTTATGACACCAAGTTCCATGGAACAAACTAGTCCCCACAGTAAAATTAGAAAACCTGAACAAGAAAATCAACATTAAAGACATAATCATAAATGTTTACTTTAGGAAGGACAATGAAGTAATCATACAAATAAGAGATTTTAAAAATGGAAAAGTCCTTAATGGAAGTTTCATTTACTTTATTTAAATCCAAGTGAATTTCATTTTAATTCATTTCAATTATTTATTAGTTTATTACATTATGGGAAACTGAGGCACAGGGAATTCAGCAACTTGCTGGAAGCCCATAGCTGGCTGGTTAATTAATGGCAGGTCAAAGATTAGAATTTAATTGTACATCTGTGAATTCTGCCTTTGCTGCCTTTCTCCAGCAGCACTGATTAGAATAGTAATCATTTATGACAATTTTATAGGATGGAAATCGAGGCAAATACAGGTAAAAATCACTAAGCAAATTGATAGCAGAAGGAGTGAGAGGAGTCTGAAGGGCTAAACTGTTCCACAAAAAACAATATTTCTTATTTTTAGAAGTGATTTTCTTAAACCATTTAAATTCTCAGAACATTATGGGTAGACCGAAAATATGCAGATAAACATATTAAAATATTTTAAAACTATTTCCTCCTTTACTTACTTTCCAAGACCTGCACTCAGATCTGTGCTTCCCTTGAAAGAATTCCAGAGCTTTCTCTTCCAGTCTGTAGGACTAGGCCTCCAACAGGGCCCTGGGATTACAAATTGAAGACTCAACAGAGAGCATAAGAATCCAGGATCTGAAGGCGCTCAGTGGAACACCTTGACGCTCAACTTAAAGTCTTCGAGATTTGGCCTCAGAAAGAAAAAGAAGCAAGTCCAGATGCCTTCAGGACCATACTTTCTCCAAAAACACGCTAAGTTTATTAATTTTCAGGGCTGTTAATTTGACACTTGCTTTCTTAGAGTTTACCTAAAAATAGAGTGTGGGGGGAGGGGCAGGAAGAGGGGCAGGAAGACAAAACCGAAAACTAAAATGTTAAGGATTTTGACTCGGATGGCAAAAATCATGTCATTTATAACATTTCAGTCAACGGTCTTACTGCATGCCACATCTTCATAGAAATCCTATTATCAAAGCCACCAGACACTATATTTGCTTCCTAATTATAGACCCTGAGCTAACAGTTGCTTTTTCTTCCCTATAATAACAACAACACTTTGTATTTATCTAGCGCCTTTCTTCCAACAAGCTCAAAATGCTTTGCAGACATTAACTCATGAATCCCGGCTTCTGGTGAATGGGATCGGTGGTGCCTTTTAGTCTCTATGTTTTGTAGTTGGAGAAAACAAGCAACTGAGCAAGCAGCCAAAGACACAGAGAGGAACATGTTGAGGAGTTCAGCTCTAGGGCCTTGGAGTTGATAACAAAATGCTTCCTCTGTGTTTGCTTCTACTTAGCCTCCTCTGGACTTAAACAAAGGAGAATTCTTGGGTCTGATGAAGGTTCCATTTTGGACATTTTTCTCTCTACCTTTGCTTCCTCATCAGGATTTGCAAACATCTTTGCACAGTTGTTTAACTACTAATTCTAATCCTGAGCTTAGCCATAAGGATTTTAATCACATCCATGATCCTTTCCCCACAAGCACCCCCTTGTGGGTGCTTAGGGCGCCAAAACAATGAAACAAAAGACAGGCCTTCACCAAGGAGGTTAGGGGTTGCCTTTTAGACAAATTTAGTTGGTGGCTTGGGATTTTTATACCTTACACTGTTATTGAAAGTTTCCAAATGGATTTTCTCGGTGGTCTCCTTTAAAATTAAACTAAAAATAAAATATAGGACTGTAAAATCTTGGCGTTAGAAAAATCTTGGAGGCCGTCTAGAATTCCTTCTCCGATACTGCTGACATACCATCATTCAGCTGTTGCCTGAACATTTCCAGTTCTCAAGAAATTCAAACAATAGCCCATGTATTTGTTTAATAACTCTCATTGATAGAAATGTCTTCATTATATAAAACTGAAGTCATCTGCCTTTCTAATGCCATTTCATTCATGCTAGTTCTGCCCTCAGAAGAACTCAGCTAATATCAAACACTTCCACAGTCACTTTGCAAAAATTTAAGGAAACTAATATTCCCTTTAAGTTTTCTCTTCTCTAAGGTAAATACTCTCAGTTTTTAATGGTTCTTCACATGAATATTTTCCAGAACCTCCCTCCTCCTACATGCCATTCTCTGATTGAGCTTCAGCTGTCAGTGTCCCTGAAACCTAGTTTTGTTCTGGCCAGCACAAATGATTGTGGAACCATATTCTCCATTATCTCGTCCTTTGTTTAGAAATGTAACTTAGGGTTTCATAAAATTTTGCTAGCCAGAACACACTTCTGGCCACTATTCAGTTGTAATACAACAAAACCCCTGGGTATTTTTCATCCTAACTGAGTGTAAGGTAGGTGCTATGGTTTGATTATTTCCAACCAAAACTCATGTTGAAACTTAATCCCCGATGTGGCAATATTGAGAGGTGGGACCTTTAAGTGATTGGATCATGAGGGCTCTGTGCTCATGAATGGATTAATCCATTCATGGGTTGATGGATTAATGGGTTAATGGATTAATGGTTTATCATGGAAGTAGGGTTGCTGGCTTTCTAAGAAAGGAAGAGACCTGAGCAAGCATCTTAGCACACTCGGCCCCCTTGCCATGTGATACACCTCAGGACTCTGTACAGAGCCCCCGCTAGCAAGAAGGTTTTCACCAGATGGGCCCCCTCAACCTTGGATTTCCCAGCCTCCAGAACTGTAAGAAATACATTTTGTTTCTTATAAATTACTCAGTTTCAGCTGTTCCATTACAAGCAATTAAAAAGACTAAGACAGCAGGCCTCCTTCATTTTATTCTTGCACAGTTAAGTTTTGAATCATTGGTCCCCATTAAAATAGTTTCATTAGTTTCAGATATAGCATATTGAAATCTTTCTAAATTTGTATTTTCTATTAATTTTATTTTGCCATGATACCCTCTGCATATTTGAATCCTGAATAATTTGAAAAGCCTTTTTCCGTGTTTTCAGTTGTTCACTAATTTACAAAAGATCCACTATGTATCTGGTGTTTTTCTAGGAAAGAGGAATACAAAAATGAATAAGATCTTTGTCTTCAAAGCATTCGCCATCTAGAGAGACACAGAGATGAGGAGCCCAAGAGATGAAACTGGAGAGGTAGGTGGGATCAGCTGGTTTGACTGCCGTTACTTACCCCATTAAGGAGATTAAACTAGGGGACTTTCAAGCAAGGGGAATAACCTGATCAGCTGTTTATGTTAGCAGAACATCTCCAGCAGCAGCTGGGATGATGAAGCATCTTCTCTTGGCAAAGAAGAACACCAAAATCAGAGAGGCCAGTTAGGAGGCTACTGCAATATTTCAGGTAAGAGTTAATAAGGACTGAAGTACAGCAAGGACAATAGGAGTGAAGAGGAGACAGAATTCAGAATTTTTCAGAGGTGGAATAAGTAAGACTATATGACCAATTAAATATAAAGAGCGAATAAGTATGAGCTGAGAGGAGTGAAAAAAAACAAACAAAAATTATATAAAGAGTAAGGAAGAGAACAGGGTACTCTGGGGATTTCATCTTCGATAAATGGTGTTAGTCATAGAGGGTAGAAAACTTGAGAGAAAAGAAATTACTCTAAGGAAGGACATCTGGAATTGAAAGCTATTAGTTTGCAATTTTCTCGAATATTTCTCAGTAGACAGAATCATAAGAAAATGGAAGGTTGAATTATTCCAAAGGGGAAATATTTCTAGATTGAGAGCAACAGAAAAACTGAGGCGTATGCTGGAGTGTGTGTGAATGCCACCCCAGTCACTAGATGCAGCTGAGGAGGCTGGTACATTGTGGGAGCAATGAAGGGCTGAAGCATTGGAAATAGGAAAGCAGGTTTGGTGGGAATTCAGGAATGGAAAAGGCCAGAGCATAGGAGATTGTGCTAGCCACCTAGATCAATGAAGAAAATGTTGAATTGAAGCTCCCAACAGCACATTCTCAAGAACATCTTTTCCAGGTTAACCTCAATTTATTAATTGACACCAGTTCTGATTACACTTCACAATCATCAGGGTAACATTTCCTCATCTTGTCCACAAGATAACCAATCATGTGAGCCTTTATCAAACACCTTACTCATAACTACTCATTATGTCAAGAATATTCTACTCAATAACCTGATTTATTTTTTTTTAATTTTACTTAATCTTATTTTATTTGAAGTTCCAGGGTACATGGGCAGGATGTGCAGGTTTGTTACATAGGTAAACATGTCCCATGGTGGTTTGCTGCACCTATCAACCCATCACCTAGGTATTAAGCCCCACATGGATTAGCTATTTATCCTGATGCTCTCCCTCCCCCAAACCCCACCCCCAGTAACCCAATTTAAAAGTGAAAGGTTCTTTGTGATCCTATGTTAGTACCTAGTAATTACTGCATTTTTTTCTTTTCTTTTCTTTCTTTCTTCTTCTTCTTCTTTTTTTTTTTTTTTTTTTTTTTTTTTTTTTTTTTTTTGAGGCAAAGTCTCACTCTGTTACCCAGGCTGCTGGAGTGCAGTGGTGTGATTTCAGATCACTGCTGCCCCCACCTTTTGGATTCAAGCAATTATCCTGCCTCAGCCTCCCAAGCAGCTGGGACTACAGGTACACCATCACGACCAGCTAATTTTTTTGTTTGTTTAGTAGAGATTTCACCATGTTGGCCAGGCTGGTCTTGAATTCCTCAAGTGATCTGCCTGCCTCGGGCCTCTCAAAGTGCTGGGATTACAGGCATGAACCATTGTGCCTGGCCTCACTGCACTTTTTTCTAGTATTTGTCTCTTTGATTATCCATTCTTGAAACTAGGAAGCAATTAACAATCAAATTTATCATTCTACATTTTTCCCTTTTCCGAAAATCAGGAAAACATTTTTCCAGCTCCATTACCCAAGCAATTTCCCCATTCTTTATACTTTCTCAAAAATCTACAAGTGTTTATGAGATCACATCATGAAATGTTACTTAAAGTTCCGGGTTATGCCTTGCCTTAGACCAGAGATGTGAATATATTGAAATTAGTACATTCTGCTCTGTCCTCTCTATTTTCTTAACCAAGGTTGCTCTACTCTTTCTTTTTGGAAGAGATTATTTTCCTTGCTAGACTAGATAGATTCAACACAGGAGTTGAGAACTTAAGCTTCCTATATGTCACTTTCTATGCCATAAAACTTCCTAGCTTTTTGTTGTTTCTTTTCCTTTTGGAAACATAGCTGGAATAGTGTTTGTTTGTTTGCAAGCTTCACTTCCTTAAGGATTTTAGCTTTTTCTAGATCGATTATTTGAATTCACGCTATTCTATAGTATATATCCTTGGGAAGTGTGTTAGGACAGGTTTCTCAGAATCGAATCCTGAGACAAGGGTGTGTATGCAAGAGATTTATTAAGGAAGTGAACCCAGGAAAATCCTGTAAGGGAATGAAGAAAGTAAGACAGCAAAAAGAAAGAAACGAAGCAAGGATGGGATCCAAGCAAAAGTCAACCTCAGCCCAGCCCTGTAGGAAAACTCTAGAGTTAAATTGTGCCTCAGGTTTTTTCCTAGTTGAAGCCAGAAACCTGGGCTTTCATACTCTGCACCAGTGGATCATTGGCTGGGGGAACAGGGCAGGGAAAGGGGTGGAAGATGTGTCTGTGAGAGCTTAAACTGCCCGGTCCCTCTGGCTCTCGGGGTGTGTGTGTGTGTGTGTGTGTGCGTGCGTGCGTGTATGTGTGTGTGCGTGAGCAGCTGCAGTAGTCCAACTGCAGTCTTCTGAAGGTTTTTCCAGGTATTGGCTGGTAGACGCAAAGGCATATACAGAAACTGAAAAAGGAATCTGGGGGATTTGTTTCAATAG